>NC_000023.11:84280723-84583754 GCF_000001405.40 Homo sapiens
AGAATGTCATTGGTAATTTGATAAGAATAGCATTAAATCTGTAAACTGCTTTGGGCAGTGTGGCCATTTTAATGATATTGATTCTTCCTATCTATTTGTTTGTACCAACTCAGAATTCTTCTAGGTGTTTTCTAATTCTCATTGTAGAGATTTTTCACTTCTCTGGTTAGCTGTATTCCTGGCTATTTTATTATTTTTGTGGCTATTGTAAATTGGATTGTGTTTCTGATTTGGCTCTCAGCTTGGCTATTGTTGGTATATAGGAATGCTAGTGATTTTTTTCTTTTCTTGAGATGGAGTCTCATTCTGTCACCCAGGCTGGAGTGCAATGGTGCCATCTAGGTTCGCTGCAATCTCTACCTCCTGGGTCCAAGGATTCTCCTGCCTCAGCATCCCAAGTAGCTAGGATTATAGGTGTGTGCCACCACGCCCCACTAGTTTTTGTATTTTTGGTAGAGACTAGGTTTTGCCATGTTGGCCAGGCTGGTATCAAACTCCTGACCTCAGGTGATCCACCTGCGTCGGCCTCCCAAAGTGCTGGGATTACGGGCGTGGGCCACCGCAGGGATTTTGTACATGGATTTTGTATCCAGAAACTGCTGAAATTGTTTGTCAGCTGACGGAGGTTTTGGGCCAAGACTATGGGGTTTTCTAGATACAGATTTAGGTCTAGAAACAGGGATAGTTTGACTTCTTCTCCTCCTATTTGGATGCATTTTATTTCTTCCTGTTGCCTGATTGCTCTGGCCAAGACTTCCAATACTATATTGAATAAGTAGTGTTGAGAGAAGGCATCCTTGTCTTGTGCCAGTTTTCAAGGGGAATTCTTACAGCTTTTCCCCATTCAGTATGATGTTGGCTCTGGGTTTGCCATAGATGGCTCTCATTACTTTGAAGTATGTTTCTTCCATACCCAGTTTGTTGAGAGTTTTTAACATGAAGGGATGTTGAATTTTACTTCCTTAATTATATATTGATTATTTTCATCTCTTCCAAGAGGATAAATCTTTTAAAAAGATACAGATATTGTCTTTCATGTTCATTCCTCTATATTCTGTAAATATTTTTTGAATGAATGAAAGAATGGTAATACCTAGTAAAATATAGAACATTTGACAGTATGCAACAAATATTTACTGAGCTCCTACTCTGAGCAAGAATTTGGAGGATGCAAAGATAAATAGGAAATCCTCAAACACCTAACACAGAAGGCAGAGTGAATATAATTGGAAGTAATGTTCCGTGAGAATCTACAAGACTTCATGGAGTTGGTATTTGATATGGACTTTGAAATATGGGCAGAATTTAGACAGGCGGAGATGACATGAAAAGATTCTAAGCAAAAGTAGCAGTATGAACAAAGACATAGAAGACAGGAAGGCACTTGGGAAATCCAGAAAGTCCAATATATCGGAATATATCTGTAGCATGAGCTGCAGAGGAGGTCAAAATGGTTGAGTCCATACTGTGGAGGACTTTGAATTTCAGGATAATTCAGCCAAACTATATTCCTTTCTAAAGAAATGGAAGTTTTGTGTAATATTTCAGGGAAGCAGGGATAAGCCTTGTTGACTTAGTTGTTCACCCTGGACCCATTATTTCCTGACCTTTAATGCCTTTATCAGTGTTAAGTTATTTTGGTTTAAAATCCAATTATAACAAAAGGTAAAATTCTACAGGTAGGTTTTATTCAAAGATCTTTTCTCACCATATAGAAAAATAGTTTTGGCATATCTGCAGAATCTGCATTTTTGCCAGCAATAGAAAATCTGAAGTAAAACAGAGAACAGCAGATATGGTATTTCCTTTTGTTGTCTGCCCTTCATGCATCTGACTAGAGATTTGCTTGTGTTATCTTGTTTTAATTTCTATAGATCAGTTCAGTACAAACAAAATAGTATCAACCTATGGATTAGAAAATATAAATGAGATTTCGAGCAAATGCCTTTCAGAAGACTATGATCAGAAGAAATATGTAAGAAGGACATCACCCGAATCAGTCTAAGCTGGTTGCCCAATTTCAAGGATAGGCCTGATGCCTTCTTACAGGGATATTGTCTGTTAACACAAGAACTGTTCTTTTCCTTGGCAGGTTTTAACAATGAGAGCTTCATTTATTCATTTTAGCTCCATTTAATTTTCACACACACACACACACACACACACACTCACACACACACTCACACACACACCTGCTTGTAAAACCTTTGGGAATGGGGGCTATTGCTTTATTTTATTCACAGTGAAAATTTAAATAATGAAAATATCAACCAAATCAGTTGCTTTAAATTGTCTTTTCCTTGAACACTCACCCAAATAGAACTAAGAGCTTGATGTCTGCCATCCTCATTCATCCATTTATTCATATGTCTGTGCATCTATCTATCCTTTAAACAAGCGTTTACTAAGTATGTACTCATTTTTATATACTATGTAAACTATTTTTGGTACTGTACTTTCTCTTGACAAGGTGTCTTACATTTATTTGCAGCAAATCCACATGCAAAATCTAGAATGGATCTAGAAAATAAACTTTTTAATCTATAGATAGAGCCATTTCAATATTTTTAAACACTTAACAATATGCTTATTTATTTTTAATAGATACATAATAACAACTGTACATATTTGTGGGGCACAATGTGATGTTTCCATACTTATATACCTTGTGTAGTGATCAAATCTGGGTAATTAATACATCCATCACTCGAACATTTGTCATTTACTTTTGGTAGAAACATTCAAAATGCTTTTTTCCAGCTATTTTGAGACAAATGATATTTAATTCTCAGTAACTAGATGGATTACCTCAAGGCAAATATTCTTTTTCAAATCAGTTTGCTTGAAGAGCTATAGTTAATCATTAAATGACTATTTATCTTTCATTTCCTTTGAGGAAAGTCCAAGAATCTTAGAGTTGGAAGGAACCTTGCAATCTGACCATTAAAATGTTCATTTTCCTATCATCATCATTGAGGAAATTCCATTATATTTGTTCTTAAATATGAAGTATAATTTTTTTGTTTTTATATTTTTCAACTTTTGTTTTAGGTCCAGGGGGTACATGTGCAGATTTTTTACATAGGAAAATTGTGTGTCACTGAGGTTTGGGGTATGAAGGATTCTGTCACCCAGGTAGTGAGCACAGTACCTGATAGTTAGCTTTTCAAACCTTGCCCATCTGGTACCTTCCCTCCTCTAATAGTCCCCAGTGTCTATTGTTCCCACTGTTGTGTCTGTGTGTACTCTATGCTGAGCTCCCAATTATAAGTGAGAACATGTGGTATTTGGTTTTCTGTTCCTGCATTAATTTGCTTGGGATAATGGCCTTCAGCTGAATCCACGTTGCTGCAAGGGACATCATTTTTTTTCATTTTGGGGCTGCATAGCATTCCATGGTGTACAGGTACCAGATTTTCTTTATCCAACATGCTGTTGTTGGACATCTAGGTTAATTCCATGTCTTTCCTATTGTGAATAGTGCTATGATGAACAAAAGAGTGCATGTGTCTTTTTGGTAGTATACATTCAGTAATGAGATTGATGGGTAAAATGGTAGTTCTCTTTTAAGTGTTTGGAGAAGCCTCTACACTGCTCTTCACAGTGGCTGAACTAATTACATTCCCATCAACAGTGTATAAGTGTTCCCTTTTCCCTACAACCTTGTCAGCACCTATTATTTTCAAATTTTTAATAATAGCCATTCTAACTGGTATGAAATTGTTTCTTATTGTGGTTTTGATTTGCATTTCTCTAATGAGAATGATTGATTCATTGATTGAATCATTGATTCTCTAACAAGAAGTGCAAATCAAAACCACAATGAGATACTACCTCATTGTGGTGTTGAGCATTTTTTCATATATTTGTTGGCCACATGTACGTCTTCATTTGAGAAGTGTCTGTTCATGGTCTTTGCCTATTTTTTAATGAGGTTGTTTGCTTTTTCCTTATTGATATGTTTAAGTTCCTTATAGATTCTGGATATTAGCCCTTTGTTGGATGCATACTTTGCAAATATTTTCTCCCTTTCTGCCTATTGTCTGTTTACTCTGTTGATAGTTTCTTTTGCTGTACAGAAGCTGTTTTGTTTAATTAGGTCCCACTTGTCAGTTTTGTTTTTGTTGCACTTGCATTTGTGTACTTAGTCATAAATAATTTGCCCAGGTCAATACCCAGAATGATATTTTTTAGATTTTCTTCTACGATTTTTATAGTTTTATGTCTCCCATGTATATCTTTAATCCATCTTGAGTTAATTTTTGTGTATGGTAAAAATTAGGGGGTCCAGTTTTAATCTCCTGCATATGGCTGGCCAGTTATCCTAGTACCATTTATTTAATAGGGAGTCCTTTCCCCATTGCTTGTTTTTGTTGGAGATCAGATGGATGTAGGTGTGTGGCTCTATTTCTGTGTTCTCTATCCTGTTCCATTTGTCTATGTGTCTATTTTTGTAATAGTACTATTTTATTTTGGATACTGTAACCTTGTAGTGTAATCCAAAGTTTGGTAGTGTTAGCATCTGGCTTTGTTCATTTTGCTTAGGATTGCTTTGGTGATTTGGGCTCTTTTTTGATTCCATATGAATTTTAGAAAACTTTTTTTATAATGCTGTGAAAAATGATGTTGATACTTTTATAGGAGTAGCACTGAATCTGTAAATTGATTTAGGCAGTATGTCCATTTTAACAACATTGATTCTTCCTATCCATGAGCATGGAATATTTTTCCATTTGTTTGTTAGTGTCATTTCTGATTTCTTTGAGCAGTGTTTTGTAATTCTTATTGCAGATATCTTTCACCTCCTTAGCAAGCTGTATTCCTAATTATTTTATTCCTTTTGTGGCTATTTTGAATGTGATTACATTCTTGATTTCATTCTCAGCTTGAATGTTATTGGTGTATAGAAATGCTACTGAATTTGTACATGGATTTTTCATATTGAAATTTTACTAAAGTCACTTGTCAGTTCTAGATACCATTTCCCAGGGTCTTTAGGGTTTTCCAGTTAGAGAGTCATATCATTTGTGAAAAGAGATAATTTGACTTCCTCTCTTCCTATTTGGATACCTTTTATTTCTTTCTCTTGCCTGATAGCTCTGGCTAGGACTTGTAATATTATGTTGAACAGCAGTAGTGAAAGTGAGCATTTTTGTCCTGTTGCAGTTCTCAAGGGGAATGCTTCTAGCTTTTGCCTATTCAGTATAATGTTGGCTGTGGGTTTCTTATAGGTGGCTCTTATCATTTTGAGCTATGTTCCTTCAATGCCTAACTTGTTGAGGGTTTTTAATATGAAGATATGTAGAATTGTATTGAAAGCCTTTTCTGCATCTATTGAGATGATTTCTTGTTTTTGTTTTTAATTCTTTTAATATAGTGAATTACATTTATTGATTTACATATGCTGAACCAACCTTTCAGCCCAGGAATACAGCTTACTTGATCATAGTGAATTAACTTTTTGATGTGCTGCTGGATTTGATTTGCTAGTATTTTGTTGAGGATTTTTGCATCTATGTTCATTAAAGATATTAGCCTGATATTTTCTTTTTCATTATGTGTCTGCCAGGTTTGGGTATCAGAATGATGCTCGCTTTGTAGAATGAGTTAGAAAGGAGCTTATGTTCCTTGATTTTTTTTGGAGTAATTTCACTAGAATTGAACTAGCTCTTCTTTGTATGTGTAGCAGTATTTGGCTGTGAATCTATCTGATCCAAGGCTTTTTTTTTTTTTTTTTTTGGTTGGTGGATTCTTTTTATTATCGATTCAATTTTGTAACTTTTTATTGGTCTGCTCAGGATTTCAACTTCTTCCTGGTTCAATTTTGGGAAGTTGTGTATTTCCAAGTAATTTGTCCATTGCTACTAGGTTTTGTAGTTTGTGTTCATACAAGTGTTCATAATAGTCTCTGAGAGACTTTTGTATTTCTGTTGGTTGTCGTCAAGGTCATCCTTGTTATTTTTTATTGTACTTATTTGGAACTTCTCTCTTTCATTCCTTATTATACTAGCTAGTGGTCAATAAAACTTATTTATTCTTTCAAAAAACTAACTTTTGTTTTTTTTATCTTCTATATGATTTTTTGCATCTCAATTTCATTCAGAGTTGCTCTGATTTTGGTTATTTATTTTATTCTAATTTTGGGGTTGGCTTGCTCTAGCTTTTCTAGTTCCTCTAGGTGTGATGTCAGGTTGTTAATCTGATGTCTCTAACTTCTTGAAGTATGCATTTAGCACTATAAACTTTCTTTTTAACACTACTTTAGCTGTGTCCCAAAGATTCTGGTATTTTCTGTCTCTGTTTTCATCAGTTTGAAATAACCTTTTGATTTTTGCCTTAATTTTGTTCTTTACTCAAAGTCATTCAGGAACAAGTTGTTTAATTTCCATATAATTGTACGGTTTGAGTATCTTCTTGATATTGATTTCTATTTTTATTGCACTGTGGTCTAAGAATGTTGATATGATTTCAATTTTTTTTGTATTTGTTAAGACTTGCTTTGTGGCTAAGTATGTGGTTGATCTTAGATTATGTACTGTGTGCAGATGAGAAGAATGTGTATTCTGAGGTTGTTAGGTGGAGAACTCTGTAGATTTCTATGTAGGGTAAATGCACCAGAAAGCAATAATATAAGGATACCTTAGAATGACCCTGTATGGCATGTGCACCTGAATGTTTGTTCCAAGCTATGGAATCTGGGTGTGGCCAACCCAGAGATTCATTCCTTATCTATGAAAAATACCTGAGCCCCTGGCCCATCCTGTGGAACATGGACCATACAGGAGAATGAGTCCCTGCGTTTTGAGTTAAATGAAGGTTGCCGGGTGGAGGTTATAGGTGTTGGGGGTGGGGTATTAAGTGAAAATGCTACATAAACTGCATGACGTTTGCAGGCAGTTGCAGTTTTCCTTCCTAGCCCACCACCACTGGGCCATGCAGTTATGTTGTCTGACTCACTGCCACTGGACTGTAGAACGTAAGATGTGTTGTTCAGCCCGTTGTCACTGGACTGTAGGAAAGTAGATGTATTTTCCAGCCAGCTGCTGCTGGACTGTAAGGCAGATAGCTTGTCCAGCATGCCACTACTTGACCATTTCTGTATATAAGGTGGCTTTTCTGTCTAACCTACCACCACTGGACTCTTACCCCTGTATGTAAGCCCTTAATAAAATCCCATGTCTAGTTTGCTGGCTCTGGGTCACCTCTGCAGCCTCTTGATCCTGATGCCTCATCTACTGAAGTTAAGATGGGTTCAGCACAACAGTCTATTAGGTCCAGTTGGTCATGTGATGAGTGTAAGTCCAGAATATCTTCATTAGTTTTCAGCCTTAATGATCTATCTAACACTGTCAATAGGATGTTGAAATCTCCCACTGTCAATGTGTGATTATCTAAGCCTCTTTGTAGATCTCTAAGAACCTGTTTTATGAATCTGACTGCTCCAGTGTTGGGTGCATATATATTTAGGACTGTTTTCTTATTGAATTGAACTTTTAGCATTACGTAATATCCTTCTTCGTTCTTTTGATCATTATTGGTTTAAGTTCTGCTTTATCTGAGGTAAGAATAGCAACCCCTGCTCTTTCATGTTTTCTGTTTTTTTTTTTTTTTATAGATCTTTTTTTATTCCTTTACTTTAAACCTATGGATGTCATTACATATGAGATGGATCCTGAAGACAGCATACAGTTGGGTCTTGTTTCTTTCTCCAACTTACCACTCATTGCTTTTTAAGTGGGGGGTTTACTTCATTTACATTCAAGGTCAATATTGATAGGTGAGGATTTGATCATGTCATCATGTTGTTAACTGGATGCTATGTAAACTTGACTATGTAGTTGCTTTATAGTAGCAGTGGGCTATGTAAGTGTGTCTTTGTGGTAGCAGGCAAAAGACTTTTGTTTCCATGTTTAGCACTCCCTTAAGGACCTCTTGTAATGCAAGTCTAGTGGTAACAAATTCAAATTCCCTTATAATTTCCTTTTCTGAAAAGGACTTTCCTTATCTGAAAACATGAAAAATATGTTTGCTTTTCTACCTCAGGTAGCTATTGTGAGAATCAAAAAATGGGTATACAGCTTTATAAAAAAATCAGATCATGGCTTTAACAGCAAAATGGATGGAGCTGAAGGCCATTATCCTAAGCAAATTAATGCAGGAGCAGAAAACCAAATACTACATGTTCTCACTTATAAGTGGGAGCTAAACTTTGAGTACACATGGATGCAAAGAAGACATTGGGTCCTATGTTAGGGTGGAGGGTTGGAGGAGGGTGAGGATTGAAAACTACCTATTAGGTAGTATGCTGATTACCTGGGTGACTGCCATATGGTTCTCCATAGTGCTTGTACTAATTTCCATTCACACCAAGAGTGTACAAGGATTCACTTCTCTCCACATCCTCTACAACAGCATTTGTTATTGTCTGTTGTTTGGATATGAACCATTTTAACTGGGGTGAGATTATATCTCATTGTAGTTTTGATTTGCATTTCTTTGATAATCAATGATGTTGAGCACCTTTTATATGCCTGTTTGCCATTTGTATGTCTTGAGAAATATCTATTCAAACCTTTTGCCCATTTTTTGATCAGATTATTAGATTTTTCCTGTGGAGTTGTTTGTACTCCTTATATATTCTAGTGATTAATCTTTGTCGGGGGTAGTCTGCATATATTTTCTCTCATTCTGTGGGTTGTCTCTTCAACTTGTTAACTGTATCCTTTGCAGTGGAGAAGCTTTTTGACTTGAGGTGATCCCATTTGTCCAGATTTGCTTTGGCTGCCTGCACTTGTGGAGTATTGCTTAAGAAATCTATGCCTAGACCATGTCCTGGAGATTTTCCCCAAGTTTTCTTATAGTAGTTTTATATTTTGAGGTCCTATATATATGTTTTTAATCCATTTTGATTTGATTTTTGTGTATAGTGAAAGATAGGGGTCAAATTTCATTCTTTTGCATATGGATATCCAGTTTTTTCCAGCACCATTTATTGAACAGACTGTCTTTTTTCCAGTGTATTCTCATGGCACTTGTCAAAAATGAGTTCACTGTAGGTATGTGGACTTATTTCTGGGTTCTCTCTTCTCTTCCACTGGCCTATGTGTCTCTTTTCGTGCCAGTACCATGCAGTTTTAGTAACTATAACTCTGTAATATAATTTGAAGTCAGGTAATGTGATTCTTCCAGTTTTCTTCTTTTTGCTCAGGATATCTTTGGCTATTCTGGGGAATTCTTGGCTTCATATAAATTTTAGAGTAGTTTCTTCTATTTCTGTGAGGAATGCCATTGGTATTTTGACAAGGATTGCATTGAATCTGTAGATGTCTTTAGGTAGTATGGACATTTTTACAATATTGATTTTCCAATCCATGAACATAGACATTTTTCCATTTTTTGGTGTCATCTTCAATTTTATTCACTAGTGCTTTATAGTTTTCATTATAGAGATCTTTCACTTCTTTGGTTAAGTTAACTCCTAGATATTTAATTTTGTCTGTGGCTAGTAAATGGGACTACTTTTTTATTTCTTTTTCAGATTGTTCACTGTTTGCATTCAGACATGCTACTAAATTTTGTATGTTGATTTTTGTATCCTGCAAATTTACTCAATTTGTTTATTACTTTTAATAGTTTTTTTGTAGAGTCTTTAGGTTTTTCCTAGTATCATATCATCAGCAAACAAGGATAATTTGTCTTCTTTCTTTCCAATTTAGACATACTTTATATCTTTCTCTTGTCTGATTGTTCTTGATAGTACTCCAGTACTATATTGATTAACAGTGGTGACAGTGGGCATCCTCGTTGTGTTCCAGGTCTTAGAGGAAAGGCTTTCAGTCTGTCTCCATTTAGTGTGATATTAACTGTGGGTCTGTCATATATGGTTTTTATCATGTTGAGGTACATTCCTTCCATCCCCAGTTTGTTCAGGGTTTATATCATGAAGTGATGTTAAATTCTATAAAATGCTTTTTCAGCATCATTTGAAGTGATCCCATGGTTTTTACCCTTCATTCTGTTGATATGATGTATCACATTGCTTGATTTCATATGTTGAACCATGTTTGCATCCCAGGGATAAAATTCACTTGGTCATGATGAATAATCTTTCTAATGTATTTTTGAATTTGATTTGCAAGTATTTTGTTGAGGATTTATGAATCAATATTTAACAGAGATATTGACCTTTAGTTTTCTTTTTTTGTTGTGTCTTTGTCTGGTTTTGGTATCAGGGTAATGCTTGCCTTGTAGAGTGACTTTGGAAGTATTCCTTCCCCCTCTGTTTTTTGGAATAGTTTGAGTAGGATTGGTATTAATTCTTTAAATGTTTGATAGAATTCAGCAGTGAAGCTATCAGGTCCCGGGCGTTTGTTTTACTGGAAGATGTTTTATTATGGCTTGATCTTGTTACTTGTTCAGGTTTTGGATTTTTTCTTGGTTCAATCTTGGTAGGTTGTGCATATCTAGTAATTTTCCATTTCTTCTAGATTTTCTAATTTATTGGCATATAATTGTTCAGAGTACCCAGTAATAATCTTTTGAATTTCTGCAGTATTAGTTGTAATGCCTCATTTTTCATTTCTGATTTTATTTGGTTCTTCTCTCTTTTTTTTCAGCCACTTTTGTTTAACTTTTCACCAAAACTACTTTTTGATTCATTGATCTTTTTTATTGTTTTTATTTCAATTTCATTTATTTCTGCTCTGACCTTTATTCTTTCTTTTCTTCTACTAATTTTGGGTTCGTTTGTTCTTGCTTTTCTAGTAATTTAAGATGCATCATTAGAATGTCTGAAGTTTTTTCTTCTTTTTTTGATGTAGGTACTTATAGCTGTAAACTTTTCTCTTACTACTGCTTTTGCTGTATCTCATAGGTTTTAGTATGATGTTCTTCCATTATCATGTGTTTCAATAACTTTTTCAATGTCTTTCTTAATTTCTTTATTGGCCCACTGGTCATTCAGGAGCTTTACTTTCCATGTATTTGTATAGTTTCTAAAATTACACTTATTATTGATTTCCAGTTTTATTCCATGGTCGTCAGAAAAGATGTTTGATATTATTTCAATTATTTAAAATGTTTTAAGACTTGTTTGTGACCTAACATATGTTCTATCTTTGAGAACAATCCATGTGCTTAGGAAAAGAATGTGTATTCTGCAGCTCTTGGATGAGATGTTCTGTAAATATTTATTAGATACTTTTGATCTATAGAGCAGATTAAGTCTGATGTTTCTTTGTTCATTTTCTGTCTGGAACATCTGTTCAATGCTGAAAGTGGGGTGTTAAGCTCTCCAGCTATTATTTTTTTGGGGTCTATCTCTGTTTATAGCTCTAATAATATTTCCTTTATATATCTGGGTGCTACCTTGTTGGGTGAATATACATTTCCAATTGTTATATCCTCTTGCCAAATAACCCCTTTTTCTTCACATAATGACCTTCTTTTCTGTTCTTATAGTTTTTGTTTTGAAATTTATTTTGTCTGATATAAGTATAGTGACTCCTGTTTTTTTTTGGTTTCCCTTGGCATGGAATATCTTTTCCCAACCCATTAGTTTCAACCTATGTGTGTTTTTATAGGTGATGTGTGTTTCTAGTGGGCAAAAGATCAGTGGGTCCTATTTTGTAATCCATTCAGCCAGTCTATATATTTTGATTGGATAGTTTAGACTGTTTGCATTCAATGTTTTTAGTGATAACTCAGGACTCATTCCTACCAGTTTGTTATTTGTCATCTGGTTGTTTTGTGGTCTTTCCTTCCTTCTTTCTTTCATTCCTGTCTTGCTCTAGTAAAGATGATTTTTATGGTGATATGACTGTTTCTTGCTTTTTATTTTTTGTGTATCTATTCTATGTTTTTTCGTTTGAGGTTACCATGAGGCTTGCAAATACTATCTTATAACCCCTGATTTCAACCTGATAACAACATAACACTATTTGCATAAGCAAGCATGCAAACAGAAAACTAATAAAAACTTGCATTAATTTTGTCTTCTCGCATTTTAACTTTTTGTTGTTTATCTTTATATCTTATTACACTGACATACATTGTACTATACTATGAAGTCAGTAAAATAAGATGTAAATAGAAACAACAAATGTTGTTGTAGTTATATTTTTGATTGGTTCAACATTTAGTCTTTCTACTTAGGATAACAGTAGTATACTCACCACAGTTACAGTGTTATAATATTCCCTGTTTTTGTATGTACTTACTATTGCCAGTGAATTTTGCATCTTCAGGTGATTATTTATTGCTCACTATTTAATGCATTTTTATTTCTGACTGGAGTACACCTTTTAGCATTTCTTGTATTGATAAAGTCCCTCAGCTTTTGTTTGTCTAGGAAAGTCTTTATTTCTCCTTTATATCTGAAGGATATTTTCACCAGATATACTATTCTAAGGTAATAGGTTTCTTCCTTCAGTACTTTAAATATGCCATGCCACTCTCATGACCTGTAAGGTTTACACTGAAGTCCGCTGCTAGACATATGAGAGTTCCATTGTACGTTGTCTGTTTTCTCTTGCCGCTTTTAGGATTCTTTCTTTATCGTTGACATCTGGGAGTGTGATTATTAAATGCCTTGAGGTAGTCTTCTTTGGATTAAATCTGCTTGGTGTTCTATACCTTTCTTGTGTTTTGAGACTGATATCTTTCTCTTGGTTTAGGACGTTCTCTGTTATTTTCACGTTGAATAAACTTTCTACCCTTATCTCATTCTCTACCTCTTTCTATGGCCAATAACTCTTAGGTATATTATTTTATATAAGGGACTTTGCATTCATAAATTTTAGTATCATGGGGGTCCTGAAACCCATCCCCCTCTAATACCTAGTAATGACTGTATATTGTGATTCCATTTTGTTTCTGGAATATGTCAAAGACCTGACAATACTATTAACTTTGAGAATAAGTAACCCCAAATGGCTGTTTAGCATAGAATTATTTAGCATAAATAGTATAGGACATGACCAAAATAATCTTGGGTTTTCTACTGATTTCTGTGTTATTGTCTAACTCTTGGAACTTGGATAAATCACTTTTCTCCTGATAAAAGATTCAACAGTATTAGTCTTAAAATATTGATCTGCTATGGTTGGGGTTTGGAGTGCTATCGAGGCTCAAATATCCAAACCCCTCCATGTCATTCACCCTCTTTTCTACTTTGAGGCACTTAAGGAAGAAAGCACATGGGAAGCAATGGTAAATGTGAAAATGAAGTGTAACTGTATTATCTGGGATGCTAAAACCTCAATGCTGATGTTACTGTAAAAGTGGTTGGAGAAAAGAACATGGCTTAAGCTAGAAAATTAACAGATATCTTGTCCCTCCTCCTGAGCCTAAATCACCCATACCAGCCTCCAGCTGGCTGCATAGTACAGGAAACTGAATCGATGTGCTTGAGAAGAGGCCAACAGGCAGCAGTGGACCATGTCTTTTGACCCATCTAGGTTCAGGGGAGGAATAGGTAAAAATGTACACATGCATGTACACACGAGAGAGAGAGAGAGCTCCATATCAGTAATATTTTATACATAAGTTATTTCCCCCACTAGCAGCAAGTAACCCAATTATTGTCCTAGAATCTGATCAACCAGTTAGTGACATTCTTATTTGTGGACTGTAGTTATATGTGCTATGTGTGTGTTTTTATGTGAGGTGTGTGTGTGTGTGTGTGTGTGTGTGTGTGTGTGTGTGTTGTTGCTTTGTATAGAATTTTAATGCACCTTTCCTTAGGAACCTACATTTACTGTCATCAAGACCTGGTTCTAAGCTCTGTGCTAGGCACCATGTACTCTGCTCTAATACAAAATCCTTCTTAATTTTCTGAAAAATCCAGACAGGTATTCATTCATGAGCAATCAACTCAGCCTGGGGTCATTGTCATAGCAGTAAAGGTATGAGGTAGTCATTTTTGATAAAGAAGCTAAAAATTTTAATAACATAAAAGCCTTTAATGTAAAAAAACCTGAAAAATTAGGTTTTTTTTCCGTAGGCAAAGACAAAGGCTGCAAAGATTAATGAGGTCCTTAATATCATGGAGCATATTAAATAAGAGTAACATCAAATCTCAGGACAATGGAACTGTGTATTGTCATTACTTGAGATTTTAATACCAAGTTTCTCTGAGCATGATCAGAGGACCACTTAAGTCACAATCAAGTGGCAAAATTTTATTTTATTTTAAAAGGCAAAAATGACAAAATATCAGCCTATAGTTTATTGTGTGTTTTTTTTCAGTGAGCAAGTTCTTTATTTATTCATTTAAAAAATGATTAACATAATTTATTGTTATTTTTAATAGACATGACCTAATCATACACATTTATGGGTTACAATGTGATGTTGTGATGCATGTATACATTGTGTAATGATGAAATCAGGTTATTTAGTATATCCATCACCTCTTTTACTATATCTTTATGGTCATAACATTTAAAATCCTCTCCTCTAGTTATTTTAAAATATAAAATATAACATTGTTAACTACAGGCACTCTATTGTTGTAATAGAATACCAGAAATTATTTCTCCTATATAACTGTAATTTTGTATCCATTGACCAATTTCTCCCTATTACCCCACTCAACCCTCTCCTTCCTTTCCTCTGGTAACTACTATTCTACTATGTACTTTTTTCAATTCCACAAATGAGTGAGATCATGCAATATTTGTATTTCTAAGCCTGGCTTATCTCACTTTAAACATACCATCTCCCAGATTCATCCATGTTACTGCGAAGGACATTATTTCATTCTTTTTTGTGGCTAAATAATATTCCATTGTGTATATATACTATTTTCTTTGTCCATTCATCTGCTAATGAGTACTTAGGTTGATTCCGTATCTTGGTTATTGTAAATAGTGCTGCAATAAATGTGGGAGTGCAGCTGTTTCTTCAACATATTGATTTAATTTCCTTTGGATAAATAACCCAGTAGTGGGATTGCTGGATCATATGGTAGTTCAATTTTTAGTTTTTTTGAGGAAACTCCATAGGGTTTTCCATAACGTCTTTACTAGTTTACTTTCCCAACAACAGTGTGTAAGAGTTCCCATTTCTCCACATCCATGTGAGCATCTGTTTTTTTGTCTCTTTGATAATAGCCATTCCAACTAAAATAAGTGATATCTCATTGTGTTTTTGATTGAATATCCCTGATAATCAGTGATGTTGAGGATTTTTTCATATGCCTGTCGATTATTTGTATGCTGTCTTTTGAGAAATATCTATTTAGGACTATTGCCTTTTTTCAACTTTTATTTTAATTTCAGGGATACATGTGCTGGATATGCAGGTTTGTTACATAGATAAATGTGTGTCATGGAACTTTACTGCACAGATCATCCCTTCACCTAGGTATTAAGCCCAGAATCTATTAACTCTTCTTCCTGATGCTTTCCCTTCTCCAGCCCCCGCAACAGGTCCCCATTGTGTGTTGTTACCCCCAATGTGTCCATGTGTTCTCACCAATCAGCTCCCACTTATAAGTGAGAATATGCAGTATTTGGTTTTCTGTTCCTGTGTTAGTTTGCTGAGGATAATGGCTTCCAACTTCATCCATGGCCTGCAAAGGACATGATCTCATTCCTTTTTATGGCTGCATGGTATTCCATGGTATATACATACCACATTTTCTTTATCCAGTCTGTCATTTAGGTTGACTCCACAACTTTGCTATTGTAAACAGTGCTGCAATGAACATACATGTCCATGTATCTTTATAACAGACTGATTTATATTCCTTTGGGTATATATTCAGTAATGGAATTGCTGGGTCAAATGGTATTTCTGCTTCTAGGTCTTTGAGGAATCGCCACACTGTCTTCCACAATGGTTGACCTAATTTACACTCTCACCAACAGTGAAAAAGTGTTCCTTTTTCTCCACAATCTAGCTGGCATCTGTTGTTTTTTGACTTTTAACAGTAGCCATTCTGATTGGCATGAGATGATATCTCACTGGGATTTTGATTTGCACTTCTCTAAAGATCAGTGATGTTGAGCTTTTTTTTTCATGTTTTTTGGCTACATGTGTGTCTTTTTTTGAGAAGTTTCTGTTCATGTCTTTTGACCACTTTTTAACGTGGTTGATAGAAAGAATTAATATTGTGAAAATGGCCATACTGCCCAAAGTAGTTTATAGATTCAAAGCTATTCCCATTAAACTACCATTGACATTCTTCACAGAATTAGAAGGAACTATTTAAAAATTCATATGGAACCAGAAGAAAAAGAACCCAAATAGCCAAGTCAATTCTAAGCAAAAAGAACAAAGCTGGAAGCATCGTGCTACCTGACTTCAAACTACTACAAGGCTACAGTAACCAAAACAGCATGGTACTGGTACAAGAACAGACACATAGACCAACAGAACAGAATAGAGAACTCAGAAATAAGACTACAGATCTATAGCCGTTTGATCATAGACAAACCTGACAAAAGCAAGCAATGGGGAAAGGATTCCCTATTTAATAAATAGTGCTAGGAGAACTGTCTAGCCACATGCATAAAATTGAAACTGGAACCCTTCCTTACACCATACACAAAAATGACTCAAGATGGATTAAAGACTTTAATGTAGGCCAGGTGTGGTGGCTCTCGCCTGTAATCCCAGCAACTTGGGAGGCCGAGGCAGGTGGATCACCTGAGGTCAGGAGTTCAAGACCAGCCTGGCCAATATGGTTAAACCCCATCTCTACTAATAATATAAACATTAGCTGGGCATGGTGGCGCATGCCTGTAATTCCAACCACTCCAGAGGCTGAGGCAGGAGAGTCGCTTGAACCTGGGAGGTGGAGGTTGCAGTGAGCCGAGATCACGCCATTGCACTCTAGCCTGGGCAACAAGAGCAAAACTCCGTCTCAAAAAAAAAAAAAAAAAAAGAACTTTAATGTAAAACACAAAACTATAAAAACCGCAAAAGAAAATATAGATAATGTCATTCAGAATATAGGCATAAGCAAAGATTTCATGACAACACCAAAAGCAATTGCAACAAAAACAAAAATTGACAAATGGGATCTAATTAAACTAGAAAACTAAAGAGCTTCTGCACAGCAAAAGAAACTATTATCAGAGTGGAGAAAGGACTAGCTGGATTTCCTAAGCCGACTAAGAATTCCTAAGCCTAGCTGGGGAAGGTGACTGCACCCACCTTTAAACACAGGGCTTGTAACTCAGCTCACACCCGACCAATCAGGTAGTAAAGAGGGCTCGCTAAAATATCAATTAGGCTAAAAGCAGGAGGTAAAGAAATAGTCAAATCATCTATCACCTGAGAGCACGGGGAGGGACAATCGTCGGAATATAAACCCAGGCATTTGAGCCGGATAGGCAACCCCTTTGGGTCCCTCCACCCCTCCATTGTATCAGAGCTCTGTTTTCACTCTATAAATCTTGCAACTGAAAAAAAAAAGAGAGAGAGACTGTTATCAGAGTGAACAGACAACTTACAGAACATGAGAAAATTTTAGCTATCTATCCATCTGACAGAGGTCTACTATTCAGAATCTACAAAGGCTTTTTTTTTTTTTTGGCAAAGTCTTGTCTGTCACCCATACTGGAGTGCAGTGGAGCAATCAAAGCTCACTGCAGCCTCAAACTGCTGGGCTCCCATGATTCTGCCATCTCAGCCTTCTGATTGACCATTTAAAAAAATCTGATTATTTATTTTTTGCTATGGATTTCCTTATATAGTCCGAACATTACCCTGTTGAGAAATACATAATTGCAGATATTTACTTCTATTCTACAGATTGTCTCTTTCCTCTTTTGATTGTCTCCTTTGATGAGCAGAAGCTTTTTAGTCTGCTGAAATTTTATTTGTCTATTTTTGCTTTCTTTGCCTATGCTCTTGAGGTTTTTTGTTAAATCATTGCCAAGATCAATGTAATAAAGTGTTTCCCCTATGTTTTCTTCTAATAGTTTCATAGTTTCAGGTATTACATTTATTCTTTAATCCATTTTGAGTTGACTTTTGTATATGATGAGAGACAGGGATTTAGTTTTATTCTTCTGCATGTAGAAATCCAGATTATCCACCATGATTTATTGAAGAGACTGTCCTTTCCTCAATGTATACTCTTGGTGCCTTTGTAAAAAATCAGTTGCCTATAAGTGTGTGAAATTATTTCTGGATTCTCTATTCTGTTCTGTTGGTCTATGTGCCTACTGTTAGGCAAATACTATGCTGTTTTGAATACTATAACTTTGTAGTACATTTTGAACTCAAGTAGTGTGATGCCTCTAGCACCTTTTCTCTCAAGATTGCATTGGCTATTCAGCATCTTTTTTTGTTCCATATGAATGTTAGAATAATCTTTTCTTTCTGCTAAGAATGGTGCTTTGGAAGGATTAAAACAAGATGGCAGAAAAGAAGGTCAACAATGGTTTCCCTCCCACCCCTTCACGGACACCCCTATTTAACAACTATCTATGCACAAAAAAAGAAACTTTGTAAGAACCAAAAAATCAGGTAAACACTCACAGTAAATGGTTTTACTTCATATCATTGAAAGAGGCACTGAAGTGGTAGAAAAAAACAATCTCAAATCACTGACATTACCCCTCCCCCACCCCCAGCTGTGGTAGCATGGTGTGGAGAGTGTTTCTGTGCCCTGCAGAGAGGGAGAACCAGCAATTGTAGAGCATGAAACTCAGTGCTTCTCTTCTTATAGCAGAAAGGAAAACCAGACCAAATTCAGCTGACACCCACACATAGAGGGAGCATTTAAACCAGCCCTACTAAGAATGGAATTATGGATCTGAGCAGTCAGAGCTTGAGTTCCTGCAAGCCTAGTCACCACAGGTTAAAGCGCTCTGGGGCTCCAAATAAACTTAAAAAGCAGTCTAGGCCACGAAGACTGCAACACCCAAGCAAGTACTTGTACTGAATTTGGCCCAGAGCCAATGGACTTGGGGAGGCAGCATGTGGCCTATTGAGACACCAACTGGGATGGCTGTGGGAGTGCTGGCATCATCCTTCCCCTAACCCCAGGCTGCACAGCTCATAGATCCTTCTACTTGAGAAGAGGAGAGGGAAGATTGGGGAGGACTTTGTCTTGTATCTTGGATACCAGCTCAGCCACAGCAAGATACAGCACTGGTTAGAGTCATGATGCCCTAGCTCACAGACATGTCTAAATACGTCAGTGATTTGAGAGAGTTTTTTTCTACCTCTTCAGTGCCTCTTTAAGCAATATGAAGTTAAAACCAGGTACTGTGAGTGCTTACCTGATTTTGTGGACCAGAAGAGAACCCACTGACTTGAAAGGAAGGACCCAGTCCTGGCAGGTTTCATCACCAGCTGAGGCCCCTTGGGACCTGAATAGCCATCAGTGATACCCAGGTATGAAGTTGAGGGTTTTTGATGAGACCCTGAGAGTTGCTAGCTTCAGGTGAGACTCAGCATATCCTCAAGTGGCTGCGGTGTCTACAGGGTGCGACTCCTTCTGCTTCAGAAATGAGAAAGTAAAAGTAAAGGGCTCTTGTCTTGCAACTTAGGCAACAGCTTAGCCACAGGGGAAAAGAGCACAAAAAGGCCTCTTGGGGTTCCCGATTCAAGGACTCAACTCTTTGAAGGCATTTCTGGACCTGCCGTGGGCAAGACGAGTGCCCACTGCCCTGAAAGGTGAGTCCAAGGCCAGGTGACTTTTACACAAGCCGAAGGAACTGCCCTAGGGCCTTAGGGAAACATTGGCAGAAGTCTGGCGGTAATCTCTGCGGGCCTGAGGTGGCCGTGGCCATGGGGTGAGGCTCCTGTGCCTTTGGAAAGGGGAGGGAAGCATGGGGAAGGACTGCATCTTGTGGTTTGAGTGCCAGATCAGTTACAGTACAGTAGAACACCACGTAGAATTGTAAGGCTTTTGACTCTAGGACCTGGCTCCTGGATGGCACCATTAGACCTGCCTGAGGCCTGGGGTACCTTGTTGCCCTGAAGGGAAGGACACAGTCCTGGCTGGCATTGCCACCTGCTGACTGTAGAGCCCCAGGGCTCTGAGGGAACATAGGCAGTAGCCAGGGAGTGGTTACAGAAGGCCTTGGACAAGACTAAGTGCTGTGCTGGCTTCAGGTCTGACTCACAGAAGACCTGGGGGTGTTGGCCACAAGGGTGCTTGTGTCACTCTATCCTCAGTTCCAGGTAGCTCAGAACAGAGAGAGAGACCCCGTTTGTTTAGAAGAAAGTAAGGAAAGAGAACAAGAGTCTGTGCCTGGTAATCCATATAATTCTTCTGGATTTTGTCCAAGACCATCAGGGTGGTACCTTAAGAGTGTGCAAGAACCACAGCATTAGTGGCCTTGGCATCCTTTCTAAAGCAGATACAGCTGAGATCACAACACCGAAGTCCTCTCAAATATCTGGATAGCCCTCCCAAGGACAGGTAAAAACAAGCCTAGACTGTGAACACTACAATTAATACCTAAATCTTCAATGCCTAGAGACAGATGAATATCTACAAGCATCAAGATCATTCAGGAAAATATGACCTTGCCAAATGAACTAAATAAGGCACCAGGGACCAATCATAGAGAAACAGATATGTGTATTTTTCTGCCAGAGAATTCAAAATAGCTGTGTTGAGGAAACTCCGACAAATTCAAGATGACACAGAGAAAGAACTCAGAATTCTTTCAGAATTTAACAAAGATATTTAAAATTTAATAAAGAGATTGAAATTACTAAAAAGAATCAAGTAGAAATTCTAGAGTTGAAAAATGCAATTGGCATACTGAAGAATGCATGAGAGTCTTTTAATAGCAGAATCGATGAAGCAGAAGAAAAAAATAGTGAGCTTGAAGACAGGCTATTTGAAAATATGCAGTTAGTAGAGACAAAAGAAAAAAAATGAAGTACACCTACAGGATGTAATAAATAGTCTCAATAGGGCGAATCTAAAAGTTATTGGCCTTAAAGAGAAAGTAGAGAATGAGTTAGGGATAGAAAGTTTATTCAAAAGGATAATGACACAGAACTTCCCAAACTTAGAGAAAGATATCAATATTGAAGTTCAAGAAGGTGATAAACCACCAAGCAGATTTAACCCAAAGTAGACTACCTCAAGGTATTTAATAATCGAACTCACAAAGGTCAAAGACAAAGAAAGGATCCTAAAAACAGCAGCCAAAAAGAAATAACATACAATGGAGCTCCAATAGGTCCAGCAGCAGACTTTTCAGTGGAAACCTTACAGGCCAGGAGAGAGTAGCATGATATATTCAAAGTGCTGAAGGAAAAGAACTTTCACCTCAGAATGGCATATCTGGCAAAATCATCCTTCAGACATGAAGGAGAAAGAAAGACTTTCCTAGACAAACAAAAACTGAGTGATTTCATCAACACCAGACTTGTCCTACAAGAAATGTGAAAGGGACTGCTTAAATCAGAAAGAAAATGACTTTAATCAGCAATGAGAAATTATCTGAAGGTACAACACTAACTAGTAATAGTACACAGAAAAACACAGAATATTATAACACTGTAACTGCAGGGTGTAAACTACTCTTAAGTAGAAAGATGAAACAATAAGCCAATAAAAAATAATGACAACACATTTTCAAGATATAGACAGTACAAAAAGACATAAGTAGCAACAATTAAATATTTAAAGGTAGGGGTACACAGTTAAGGCATATAATCTTTATTAGTTATTTTTTCACTTGTTTGGTTATGCAAACAGTGCTATTAGTATAAAATAATAGGTTACAAGACAGTATTTGTGTGCCTCATGGTAACATCCAACCAAAAAAAACATGCAACAGATACACATATAAAGCAAAAAGACTATATCCTATCACCAGAGAAAATCACCTTCACAAAAATGAAGACAGGAAGGAAAGAAGGAAAAGACCACATACTCACCAGAAAAAAAATAACAAAATTGAAAGAGTAAGTCTTTACTTATCAATAACAAAATAGAATGTAAAACTAAACTCTCCAATCAAAAGACATAGAGTGACTGCATGGATAAAGAAATGAGGTTGATTGATCTATTGCCTATAAGAAATGCATTTCACCTGTAAAGACACACATAGACTGAAAGTAAAGGGACGGAAAAAAATTTCCATGCCAATGGAAACCTAAAAGGAGCAGGAGTCGCTATACTTTATATAAAGCAAATGTTATTAGAGATATAAAGGGATAGACTTCAATACAGTAATAACTGGAGACTTCAGCACCAGACTTTCAGTGTTAGACAGATCTTCCAGATAGAAATCCAACAAATAAACATCAGACTTAATCTGCACTATAGACCAAACTGATCAAAGCCTGAGACCCTATGATTTTACTGCTTTATTTTACCAATCATTTATAGAAGAGATAGTATCAGTCATACCTCAACTATTCCAAAAAAGAGAGGAGGTAATACTTCCAAACTCATTCTATGAGGCTGGCATTACCCAGATACCAAAACAAGACAAAGACACATAAACAAACAAACCCAAAACAAAAAAACCCTGCAGACCAATAACTCTGACGAATATTGATGCAAAATTTGTCAACAAATTACTACTATAACAAACAAAATTCAACAATACAATTAAAAGATAATTCAGCATGACCAAATGGAATTTATCCCTGAAATGTAAAGATGGTTCAACATGTGCAAATCAATGTGATACATCATACAAACAGAATGTATAGCAAAAACTATATGATCATTTCAATTGTGGCTGAAAACACATTTGATAAAATCCAACATCTCCTCATGATAAAAACCCTCAGAAAACTGGGTATGGAAGGAACATACCTCAACACAATAAAAGCCATATACTTAAAACCCAAGCTAGTATCATACTAAATACTGAAAAAATAACATCCTTTTCTCTAAGATCTGGAATACAGCAAGGATATCTGCTTTTACTCCTGTTATTTAACATGGTACCTGAAGTCGTACCTAGAGCAATCAGACTTGAGAAAGATAGAAAGGGCATCTAAATCTGAAAGGAAGAATTCAAATTATCCTTGCTTGCAGGTGATATGATCCTATATTTGGAAAAGTTTGACGACTCCACAAAAAACTATTAGCACTGATGAACAAATTAGGTAAAGTTGCAGCATACAAAATCAGCATACAAAAATCACTAGCATTTCTATATGCCAATAGTGAAAAATCCAAAAAATAAATAAAAAATGTAACTCCATTTGTAATAGCCACAAATAAAATTAAACACCTAGGAATTAACCAATGAAGTGAAATATCTCTATAATGAAAACTACTAAACATTGATGAAACTCATTGAAGAAGGCACGAAAAAATGGAAAGATATAGTATGTTCATGGATTAGAAGAATCAATTTTGTTAAAATGTCCATACTATCCAAAGAAATCTACAGATTCAATGCAATCCCTGCCAAAACACCAATGATATTATATACAGAAATAGAAAAAAAATTCTAAAATTTTTATTGAACCACAAAAGACCCAAAATAGCTAAAGCTACCTTAAGCAAAAAGATCAAAAGGAGGAATCACATTACTTGACTTCAAATTACAGAGATATAGTTAGCAAAACTGCATGGTACTGACATAAAAACAGACAGACCAATGTAATGGAACACAGAACCCAGAAACAAATCTGCACACCTACAGTGAACTCATTTTTGTCAAAAGTGCCAATAATATAAACTGGGAAAAGAAATTTCTTCAATAAATGATGCTGGGAAAGCTAGATATCCATATGCAGAAGAATATAACTAGAACCCTATCTCTCATCATATCCAAAAATCAAACCAAAATGAATTAACAACTAAAATCTAAGACCTCAAACTATGAAACTACTACAAGAAAACATTGGGAAAACTCTCCAAGACCTTGGTCTGAGCAAAAATTTCTTGAGCACTATTCCACAAGCACAGGTGACCAAAGCAAAAATGGACAAATGGGATCACATCAAGTTAAAATTCTTCTCCACAGCAAAGGATACAATCAACAAAGTGAAGCAAAAACCCACAGAATGGGAGAAAATATCTGCAGACTACCCATCTGACAATGAATTAATAACCAGAATATATAAGGTGTTCAAAGAACTCTATAGGAAAAAAATCTAATAATCTGATCAAAAAATGGGTAAGATTTGAATAGACATTTCTAAAAAAAAAAAGATGTACAAATGGCAGACAGGCCATATGAAAAAATGCTCAACATCATTGATTATCGGAGAAATGCAAATCAAAACTAAAATGAGATATCATCTCACCCTAGTTAAAATGGCTTATATTAAAAAGAGAGGCAATAACAAATGCTGGTGAGGACCTGTAGGAAAGGGAACCCTTGTACACTGTTGGTGGGAATGTAAATTAGTACAATCACTATGGAGAACAGTTTGAAGTTTCTTCAAAAATCTAAAAATTGAGCTACCATATGATCCAGCAATCCCACTGTTGGGTATACACTCAAAAGAAAGGAAATCAGTATAATCAGTATATGGAAGAGATATTTGCACTCCTACAGCAGTGTTTGCAATAGCTAAGATTTGGAAGCAACCTAAGTGTCCATCAACAGATGAATGGATAAAGAAAATGTGGTACTTATACACAATGGAGTACTATTCAGCCATGAAACAAAATGGTATCCAGTCATTTGCAACAACGTGAATGGAACTGGAGATCATTGTGTTAAGTGAAATAAGCCAGGCATGGAAAGACAAACCTCACATGTTCTCACTCTTTTGTGGGATCTAAAAATCAAAACAATGAACTCATGAACATAGAGAGTAGAAGGATAGTTAGCAGACGCTGGGATGGGTATTGCAGGTTGGCAGGGGGAGGTGGGAATGGTTAACGGGTACACAAAAAGATGGAAATAATGAATAAGAACTACTATTTGATAGCACAATAGGATTAGATAGTCAATAATAACTTAGTTGTACATTTTAAAATAATGTAAATTTACGAGTGTAGATTGTTCACAACTGAAAGGATAAATGCTTGAGGGGATGGATACTATCAAAACATCTCATGTACCTCATAAATATATACACCTACTATGTACCCTGAAACATAACAATAAATAAATAAATAAAATATAAACATTGAAAATAAAAAAATGTAAAAATAATGATATTTTGGAATCCAATTGTTTCAGAATCTCTAGGTATAAGGCCCAAGTCTTTGCATTTTAAACAAATCACCTAACTCCATGATTCTTATGAATTTTTAAGTTTGAGAACAATTGCCTTAAGGAAGTAGGGGTAGATTAACTCAAATAAGGTACTATTGTATAATCTTTTTTGATGGAAAATACACTGCCCTGGCCAGCAAGAGACCTAGAGTGTAGTTCTGGTTTTACGTTTTGTTTTCTGTGAGATCTTGAGTTAATGATGTCATCTCTTTCAGCACAATTTTCCTTTTCTGTACTTTTCTGAAAGATTTGATCCAGAGAAACTCTTACATCTTCTTCAGCCTTAATATTCTATGAATCTACACAGAGAATATTAAATCAATGAACTTGTTTTATGAGGTCAGAGTATCTAGCACCCAGTACAATGTCTGACACATAATACCAATTAAATACATATTAATTATATGAGTGCAGACACAAAATATAAACAAACAAGTTCAAGCAGGACTGAAATACATTCTCAGTTGATCAATATGTAATGGACAGTGCTTTGAGGAAAGCTAATAAAATATTTGGAAGCTCTCTTTAAACCTGTGAGAACAATCATATATTTTATTTATATCATATCTTGGTGGCCATCTGGGATGAATACTTGGCTGAATAGATCTTAATTGGATCTGATTCCATTCATAATTATCCTTTTACACAAAGTTTCATTTGACAGCTACACCTCATTGAGGTCTCCTCACAGTAACTCCCCACCAATCCCCTAGCAATCATACCATGACATTTAACACTTGTGTGATCTTTCAAGTTACATTTCATCTGTTTAAGCCTAATTTTTCACAGTACATCAAGCTCCTGGGAGCCAAAAATCATAGCCCTTTCCGTATATCCAGCAGTGTCCATATAGACTTGAATACCTAGGCAACCAGTAAATACTTGATTAATAGGTGTTAAACTTTTACATTTCTGCAGTGCTTCACAAATTGCAAAGAGTTCTTAAAAGTAGTTCATTTGATTTTCACAATCACTGTAAGAGGCAGTCAGATAAGGAATTATTATTCCTATTTCATAGATGAAGAAACTGAGGCTTAAGGAATTTATATGGTGAACAATAACACATGTCAGTGTTCTTTCTGCTATACCACAATACACTGTATCTTATTGTTGAAAGGAGAGGCAAGGACATACATTTTAGAATCCAACAACTTTCTGTCTTAAAAATTTCAGCCCCTTCTAATAAAAAATGTTTGTACTAGAGAAAGCCAACAAAAAAAAATTAAAGACTAATGCCTAGGACTTTATGAGTTTCTAATTAGGATAAGGAGAAATATTAATTATTGAATAGTAGTTTCATTGCATTTTGAACTTGATATTGTCTTCATTCTAGAGTTTTCTAAATTTCTGTACCCGAATTCTTTTTTATCTTCCTGATTTCCGCAAACATTTGTATCCAAATGGATCAATATTTGTTATCAAGTGAACCCAAGGTCTCTTGCTTCTTATGTCTTAATCTTTTGTTATTGTCGTTGTTTTTTTCAAGTTAACATATTGATGAATGCTTTAAAAGTGAAAAGTGAATACAATAATTTATGAGGCTATATAAGAAAATTAATCAGCGCCACACTTTGGGAGGCCGAGGCGGGCGGATCACGAGGTCAGGAGATCGAGACCATCCTGGCTAACACGGTGAAACCCCGTCTCTACTAAAAATACAAAAAATTAGCCGGGCGTAGTGGCGGGCGCCTATAGTCCCAGCTACTCGGGAGGCTGACGCAGGAGAATGGCGTGAACTGGGAGGCGGAGCTTGCAGTGAGCCGAGATCGCGCCACTGGACTCCAGCCTGGGCGACAGAGCAAGACTCCGTCTCAAAAAAAAAAAAAAAAAAAAAAAGAGAAAATTAATCAATTGAAATATTCATTTAATTTTCCCAAGACCTATATTAGCAGATTTAGAAAAATAGCCTTATGTGCAATAAACAGATTTGACAAAGGTAAGTCACCCTTTCCTCTGACCCAGTGTGCCAGCGGAGACACAGGTTGTGAAATCCTTAATGCAAGGGTAAACTAGGCATTTTAAAATGGCATATGATTAGAAAGATAACCCTTAGAAAGCAAAACGTGTCTAAATGATCCCATTACTCGAGTAGTTTTTCAAACCTTCTTCTGCTTCCTCCCTCCTTTCTTTAGTGGACCCCAGTATCTATTGTTCCCATCTTTGGTGTCCATGTGTACTCGCTGTTTAGCTCCCACTTGAAAGTGAAAACATGTGGCATTTGGTCTTCTCTTCCTGCCTTAATTTTTCTAAACAATATACCCATGTAAGAAACCTACACATGTATCCTCTGAAACTAAAATAAAAGCTAATTTAAAAAAAAAAAAAAAGAAAGCAAAATGTGTGTCCATGAATAGACTGGAAGGAAAGCTACATTTAAATATGTAATGTGCAGTTAGAAAAAAATGATAGAGATTCACATGATAAATAAAATATGCTTGATAAAAATAGTTAGTTTATCTACTCTAGAACCAGTAATAAGTGGCTAAAATTCACTTGATTGGAAACTAATGACAAGCAAAAACAAAGTAAGTAAACTAAACTTTCTGCAAGTGATTTCAAAGATCTGTGTCAGATATTCATCTGCATGCATACACACATTGAGCCAGAGATCAACATTTGATATATAAAGTTAAATGAATTTTTAAAGAAATAGCTATTTCTTTAAAATGTTGTATGGCATCGATATTTTATTAAATGAAAGATAGTGTACCAGATGTGCCCAGTTCCCATAGCAGCTCTTCGATTGGTAGGCCTATTAACTCTCTAAGGCAGTGAGAAGACCACTGAGGGCGTGAACAATAAAATTGTGCTGCCCTTTGAATGTGAAAACTGTGCTGGTCATATACTCTATTTAGGTGAAATTGTTTTGAGTGCTGTTTTGATTCTCCTAAATGTTTGCCTTGAGCCATCTATGCCCAGGGCAAAATTGCTAGGTCGAAGTTGTCTTTGACTTCCTTCAATATCCTTTTCTAGAAGTAATAATAACAGTATTAGCTAACATGTACTGAGCACTTACTGTGTACTAGGCACTACACTAAGCACAACAACCCTATGAGATAGTTACTATCTGTCATTATTCACATCTTGCAAAGAAACTGAAATACACAGAGGTCAAATAACTTGTCCTAAGACCACACTGCCACTAGGTGTTAAAACTTGAGAATTGCCCCCACAAATTAACTCTTAAAACATTGATCCTAGCTCCATCATTATACTAGTATACACACCTTTCCTTCTAGATTTTAGAATTTAGAATTTCCTCTCTCCTGCCCATCAGCCACTTAGTGGACTCAATTGTGATAATTCCCTCAAGACTTCTAGAGGTTCTGTATTTATCACTCTCTAGTTTTAGAATGGATGAGGTGGCTCATGCCTGTAATTCCAGTAGTTTGGGAGGCCGAGGTGGGCGGATCACTTGAGGTAAGGAGTTCGAGACCAGCCTGGCCAACATAGTGAAACCCTGGCTCTGCTAAAAATACAGAAAAAAAAAATGGCCAGGTGTGGTGGCAGTCACCTGTAGTCCCAGGGGTGTGGTGGCGGGCACCTGTAGTCCCAGTTACTCCAGAGGCTGAGGCACGAGAATTGCTTGAATGGGGGCAGCAGAGGTTACGGTGAGCTGAGAAATTGTGCCACTGTACACCAGCCTGGGCAACAGAGTGAGACTCTGTCAAAAAAAAAAAAATCAGTCTAGGCCACAAAGACTGCAATGCTTAGGCGAATCCTAGTGCTAAACTAGGTCCAGAGAGAGTGGGCTGGAGGTGGGGATGGGGGGCATGTGACATAGACACCATCAGGGGCAGCCCCGGGAGTGCTGGCATCACCCCTTCCCTTACCCCAGGCTGCACAGCTCCTGGTTCCAAAAGAGACTCCTTCCTTTCACTTGAGAAGAAGAGAGGGAAGAGCTGGGAGGACTTTGTCTTGTATCTTGGATGCAAGCTCAGCCACAGCAGGATAGGACACCATTCAGAGTTGTGAGGCTCCTGTTTCTGGCTCTAACCACCAGACCACATTTCTAGACACACCCTGGGCCAGAATTGAACCTGTTGTCTTGTAGGAAAGAACCCAGTCCTGGCGGCATTTATCTCCTGCTAACTGAAGAGCACTTCAGCCTTGAATACCCTCCAGCAATACCTATATACTATATCGAGTGCCTTGGTGAGCCTCTGAGACTTGCTGGCTTCAGGTGAGACTCAGCATATAACCCGATGTGGTGGTTATGGGGCAAAACTCCATCTGCTTAAGAAAAGCAGAGGGAAAAGTAAAGGTGACTGTCTTGCACCTTAGGTACCAGCACAGCCACAGGTTGTAGAGACCAAGCAGGCTCTTGTCATCCCTGATTATAGGACTTGACTCTTGCACAGCATTTCTGGACTTGCCCTGGGCCAAAGGTGTGTCCACTTCCCTGGATGGTGAGTCCTGGACCAGGAAGCATTCACAGCAACATTACTTAAGAGACCTTGGGCCTTGAGGAAACATGGGAGGTAGTCTGGCAGTACTCCTCATGGCCTGGGGTGGTGGTAGCTACAGGGTGAGGCTCCTCTGCATTTGGAAAGAGGAGAGAAGAGTGGGTAAGGATTTTGTCTTGGGGTTTCTGTGCCAGCTCAGCCACAATACAATGGAACACCAGGTACACTTCTAAGGTTTTTGACTCTAGTCCCTGACCCTCAGATGGCACTTTTGAAGCCACCCAGGGCCCGGGGGACCTCATCAACATAAAGGAAGGAAGCACACCTTGCTGGCTTTGCCACCTACTGATTATAGACCCTAGGGCCTTGAGTGACCATAGGCAGTAGCCACGGAGTGGTTACAGCAGGTATTGGGTGAGACCCAGTGCTATGCTGGCTTCAGGTCTGAGCCAGTGCAGTCATAGTAGTGGTGATGCTTGTGTCACACCACCACCAGCTCTAGGTGGCTCAGAACAGAAAGAGAGACTGTATGTTGGGAGAAAGTAGAACAAGGAAAAAAGAGTCTGCCTGATAATCCAGAGAATACTCCCGGATCAGTCCAAGGCCATCAAAGCAATACTTCTATCAGTCTGTAATAACTAGAGCATTACTGAGCTTGGGTTGCTTCCTAAAGCAGATACAGCTTAGATCACAACACCTAATTCCTTTTAAATATCTGGAAGGCCTCCTCAAGAAGGACAGCTGCAAATAAGCTCAGACAGTGAAGACTACAATAAATAGCTAACTCCTCAAAGTTCAGACACTGAAGACCATCTACTTGCATCAACACCATCCAGGAATACATGACCTCACCAAATGAACTAAATAAGGCATGAGGAAGCAGTTCTGGAAAAATAGAGATACGTGACCTTCCAGACAGAGAATACAAAATAGCTGTGTTGAGGAAACTATTAAAAATTCAAGATAACACAGAGAAGGAATGCAGAATTGTATCAGATAAATTTAACAAATAGATTGAAATAATTAAAAAGAATCAAGCGGAAATTCTGTAGCTGAAAAATGCAATTGGCTTACTGAAGAATGCATTGGAGTCCTTCAATTGCAGAATTGATCAGGAATATGAAAGAATTAGTGAGCTTGAAGACAGGCTATTTGGAAATGAACAGGCAGAGGAGACAAAAGAAAACCAATGAAGCATGCCTACAGAATCTAGAAAATAGTCTCAAAAGAGCAAATCTGTTAAATAAGGATTATTGGCCTTAAAGAGGAGGTAGATAATAAGATAGGGGTAGAAAATTTATTCAAAGGGATAATAACAGAGAACTTCCCAAACCTAGAGAAAGATATCAATATCCAAGTACAAGAAGGTTATTTGATACCAAGCAGATTTAACCCAAAGAAGACTACCTCAAGACATTTAATAATCAAACTCCCAAAGGTCAAGGATAAAGAAAGGATCCTAAAAGCAGCAAGAGAAAATGAGTAAATAACATACAATGGAGAGCCAATATACCTGGCAGCAGACTTTTCAATGGAAACCTTACAGGCCAGGAGAGAATGGCATAACATATTTAACATGCTGAAGGAAAATAACTTAACCCAGAATAGTACATCCAGTGAAAATATCCTTCAGATATGAAGGAAAAATAAAAATTTTCTGAGACAAACAAATGCTGAATGATTTCATAAACGCCAGACCTGTCCTAGAAGAAATACTAAAGGAGGTACTTCAATCAGAAAGGAAAGGACATTAATGAGCAATAAATAATCACCCGAAGGTACAAAACTCACTGGTAATAGTAAATACACAGAAAAACACAGAATATTATAACACTGTAACTGTAGTGTGTAAACTACTCTTATTCTGAGTAGAAAGACTGAACGATGAACCAATCAAAAATAACTACAACTTTTCAAGACATAGACAGTACAATCAGATATATTAATAAATTGAAGCAACAAAAAGTTAAAAAGTGGTAAGAGGAAGTTAAGGCATACAGTTTTTAGTAGTTAATTTTTTGCTTGTTTGTTTGTTCATGCAAATAGTGTTAAGCAGTTATTAAGTTAAAATAATGGGTTATAAGATAGTATTGGCAAGCTTCATGGTAACTTCAAACCAAGAAACATACAATGGATATGCAAAAAAATAAAAAGCAAAAAGCTAAATCATATCTCCAGAGAAAATCACCCTCACAAGAGGAAGACAGGAAGGTAAGAAAGAAGGAAGAGAAGACCATAAAACAACCAGAAAACAAATAACAAAATGGCAGGAGTAAGTCCTCACTTATCAATCAAAAGATGCGGACTCCCTCAGTGGATGAAAAACAAGACTCATTGATCTATTCCCTACAAGAAACACACTTCACCTATAAAGACCCACATAGACTGAAAATAAAGGGTTGGAAAAAGATCTTCCATGCCAATGGAAACCAAGAAAGAGTAAGAGTTGCTATACTTATATCAAGCAAAAGAGCTTTCCAAACAAAAACTATAAAAACAGATAAAGAAGGTCACTATATAATGATAAAGGGGTCGATTTAGAAATAGGATATAACAATTTTAAATACATATGCACCAAACACTGGAGCACCCAGATATATAAAATTAATATTATTAGACCTAAAGAGAAAGATAGGCTCCAATACAATAATAGATGGAGATTTTAACACCCCACGTTCATCACTGGACAGATCTTCCAGACAGAAAATCAACAAAGAAACATCAGACTTAATCTGCACTATAGACAAAATGAATCTAACAGACATTTATATAACATTTCACTCAAGAGCTGAATAATACACATTCTTTTACTCAGCACATGGATTATTTAAAAAAATAGACCATATGTTAAGTCACAAAACAAGTCTTAAAAGATTTAAAAGATTGAAATAATATCAAGCATCTTATCTGACTACAAAGGAATAAAACTAGATATCAATAAAAAGAGGAATTTTGGAAGCTATACAAATACATGGAAAATAAGCCAATATGCCCCTGAATGACCAGTGGGTAAATAAAGAAATTATGAAGGAACTTTAAATTTTTTGAAACAAATAGTAATGGAAACACAACATACCAAAACCTATGGTATGCAGAAAAGCAGTACTATGAGGGAAATTTATAGCTACAAGCGACTACACCAAAAAAAAAAAAAAAAAGGAAAACTTCAAATGAACAATTTGCATCTTGAAAAACTAGAAAAGCAAGAGCAAACCAAACCCAAAATAAGAACAATAAATAATGAAAATCAGAGCAGAAATAAATAAAATTGAAATAATAAAACAATACCAAAGATCAATGAAGCAAAAATTTTTATTTGAGAAGTTAAACAAAATTGACAAAACGTTAGCCAGACAACTAAGAAAGAAAGAGAGAACATATAAATAAATCAGAAATGGAAAAGCAGACTTTACAACTGATACTGAAGAAATTCAAAGGATCATTAGTGGCTACTATGAGCAACTATATGCCAATAAATTAGAAAACCTAGAAGAAATACCTACAACCTACTATGATTGACCCAGGAAAATCCAAAATGTGAACAGACAAATAAGTAACAAAGTCAAAGCCATAGTAAATGTCTCCCACTGAAGAAAAGCTCAGGACCTGCTGATTTCATTGCTGAATTCTACCAAACATTTAAAGAAGAATCAATACCAGTCCTGCTCAAACTATTACACAAAAGAGAGGAGGAAGGAATACTTCCAAAGTCATTCTACAAGGCAAGTATTACCATGATACCAAAAGCAGACAAAGGCACCACCACCACAACAACAAAAAACAAAACATAAAAGAAAAGAAAAAAGAAAACTGCAGGCCAATATTTCTGATGAATATTGATACAAAAATCCACAATAAAATACAAGCCAAGAGAATTTAATGATACGTTAGAAAGATTATTTATCATGACAAATTTGGATTGATCCCTGGGATGCAAGGATGTTTCAATATGCACAAATCAACATCATATCAACATAATGAAGGATAAAAACCATATGAGCATTTTAATTGATGCTGAAAAATCATTTGTTAAAATTCAACATATTTTCCTAATAAAAACCCTGAAAAAATTGGGTATAGAAAGAACATACCTCAACAAAATAAAAGCCATATATGACAGACCCACAGTTAATATCATATTGAATGAGAAAAAGCTGGAAGCCTTTTCTCTGAGATCTGGGGCAAGACAAGGATGCCCACTCTAACCACTGTTCTTCAAAATAGTACTGGAAGCCTTAGCTAGAGCAGTCAGCCAAGAGAAGGATATAAAGCATATGCAAATTGGAAACAAAGAAGTCAAATTATACTGATGGCTGATGATATGATCTTACATTTGGAAAAATCGAAAGACTCCACCAAAAAATGATTAAAACTGATTAACAAATTCAGGAAAATTGCAGGATTAAAAATCAACATACAAAAATTAGTACCATTGCTAAATGCCAACAGTGTACAGTATGAAAAAAAACATAAAAAGTTGCTCCATTTACAATAACCACACAATAAATACCTAGGAATTAAGCAAAGAAGTGAAAGACCTCTATAATGAAAACTATAAAACACTGATAAAAGAAATCTAAGAGGACCCTCCAAAATGGAATATTATTCCATGTTCCTGTATTGGAAAAATCAAGATTGTTAAAATGTCCATACTCCCCAAAGCAACCTACAGATTGAATGCAATTCCTATCAAAATACCAATGGCATTCTTCACAGAAATATGAAAAACAATTCTAAAATGTATATACTACCACAAAAGACCTAGACTAGCCAAAGCTATCCTAAGCAGAAAGAGCAAAACTGGAGAAATCACATTATCTGACTTCAAATTATACTACAGAGCAATAGTTAACGAAACAGTATGGTACTGGCATAAAAACAGACCCATAGACCAGTGTAACAGAATAGAACAGAACCCAGAAGCAAATCCGCATACCTGCAGTGAACTCATTTTTGACAAAGGTGCCGAGAGCATATGCTGGGGAGAGGACAGTCTCTTCAATAAATGGTGCTAGCTAGGAAAACTGGATATCCATATGCAGAAGAATGAAACTAGGCCCCTATCTCTTGCCATATACAAAAAGTAAAGAAAAGTGGACTAAAGACTTAAATCTAAGACATGAAACTACTCTAAGAAAACAATGGGGAAAATCTTCAGGAAATTTGTCTGAGCAAAGATTTATTGAATGAGACCCCAAACACAGAGGCAACCAAAGCAAAACTGGACAAATGGGATCACATCAAGTTAAAAAGCTTCTGCGCAGCAAAGGATAAAATCAACAAAATGAAGAGAACACCCTCAGAATGGGAGAAGATATTTGCAAAGTACCCATCTGAGAAGAGATTAATCACCAGAAAATATAAGGAGCTCAAACAACTCTATAGAAAAAATCTAATAATCTGATTAAAAATGGGCAAAAGATTTTAATAGACATTTCTCAAAGGAAGACATACAAGTGAAAAACAAGCATATGAAAAGATGCTCAATATCATTGATCATCAGAGAAATGCAAATCAAAGCTGAAATGAGATATCATCTCACCCTAGTTAAAATGGCTTGTATCCAAAAGACAGGTACTAACAAATGCTGGTGAGACTGTGGATAAAAAGGAACCCTTGTACACTGTTGATGGAAATGTAAATTAGCACAACCTCTATGGAGAACAGTTTGGAGAGTCCTCAAAAATTTTTAAAATGAGCTACTTGTATGATCCAGCATTCCCACTGCTAGGTATATACCCAAAAGAAAGGAAATAAGTACATCAAAGAAATATCTGCACTCCTATCTTTGTTACAACATTGTTTACAATAGCTAAGATTTGGAAGCAACCTTAGGGTCCATCAACAGATGAATGGATAAAAAAGTGTGGTACATATACATAATGGAGTACTATGCAGCCATCAAAAAGAATGAGATACAGCCATTTGCAACAACATGGATGGAACTGGAGATCATAATGTTAAGTGAAATAAGCCAGGCACAAAAAGACAAACATCACATGTTCTCACTTATTTGTGGGATCTAAAAATCAAAACAATTGGACTCATGGACATAGAGAGTAGGATAATTACCAGAAGCTGGGAAGGGTAGTGGTGGGTGGGGGGCGGGGTGTGGTAGGTGGGAATGGTTAACCAGTACAAAAAATAAATAATTAGATATAATAAATAAGTCCCACTATTTGATAGCACAATAGGGTGACATAGTTAATAATATCTTAATTGTATATTTTAAAATAACATGAATAGTGTAATTGGATTGTTTGTAACTCAAAGGATAAATGCTTGAGGGGATAGATATCTCATTTTCCATGATGTGTTTATTTCACACTGCAAGCCTGTATCATAACATGTCCTGTATCCCTTAAATATACACACCTACTGTGTACCAAAAATAATTCAAAAAATAAAAAAATGCGAAAAATAAACTCAGATGAATAAAATGCTTAAAAACAAGCAAACAAAGAAAAACCAAAACAAAAACAAAAAATGCTTTCCCCCTCTGAGTCCAAATGTAATTGGGGGAGAAATATCTTGTGCCAAATTCACATGCGAAAATGATCTCAATACATTTTTAAGAGAAAAAGCAGGACACACATCTGCATATTCAGCACAATTCCAGTTTTGTAAATATATATTTGAGAACATAATATGTGGAAGAAATGACTGGAATGAAATATTCTAAAATGTAATAATGATTCTTACTGGGTGATGGGATTACAAGTGGTTCTGTTTTTTAATATATTTTCTACATTTTCTAAAATCTCTGCAATGAACATTTATTACTTTTATAAAGAAATATAAACAAACGTGAAACTTCTTTAGTTTCATTTGATGTGAAAAATATCACTCGATCTTATGGACATACTCATCCATTGACTTGTCTTTTAAATAGATTTGCAATGATACTCATTCACTTATCTAAAATAAAATGATTTCACCATCTTAAGTCAATAATTTTGCAGATCTGAGAAAGACTTCAGTCATTTGAGATGCACATTTGTATGTGATTCACTCCTTGCAATGTTCTTGAAAATTTACCAACTGGGAAGAAAAACTGCTGTTATGCTATTTAAAACATACCACTTGCCCTTTCTTATTCCTTCCCCACTAGTTAGGTAACATGAAGAGTTTTAATTGGTAAAAGGCTTTGACAAGGCATGGACATATTTCACACAAATTGAAAGCATGCTTAAGTAGTTTTGAAGAGAACCAGGAAAAGTTAGATGCAACATCGCCACATTTAAAACAAACAAACAAAAAAACCTCTTGTAAAAATAACACTTTGTTATACTGTGCAATTTACTTGCTGATGTTACCATTTAAATATAATATCCTAGACATATTTGTTGTCTATTACAAAATATTCACTTTATTCCATTGGTACTGGAGTTAAGTAAAGTCAGTTAAGGGCGGTACACATGTCAGCTTGGAAATCAACTCAGTTTTCACATGAGCACTCCATTTTCTCCCTTCTTTGACACCCAACACCTTATTATTCTCTTCATTTTTCATTTTATCAGAACCGTATTTTGGGGAGAAAATAATCCACTTTAAAAGAGGAAAGTGCTTACAACACAAAGGCTTATAAAAATAAATATTAAAATAAAGAAATAGATGTCTATTAGTTGGAAATCATTTATTGCCTCTATAAAAGTTTAAATAAAAACTCTACAAAAATTCACATTACAGTCTGATGTGGTTTTAAGGTGACAGTATATTTCAGAGGTAGTACTAGTAAAATGGGATGCAGGATTGCTAAAATGAATTACTTAACAAGTTAATGCAAAATAAAATTTCAGTGTGGAGCAATATACACTCAGTATATATTTTAATGAAACAATTTTAATTATATTTGCTTGAAAATATCACTTTACTCTTTTTTCCCCCTAGCAAATCTGTTCTTAATCAAAGTTTGTTTTCAGCAATGGTGTGTTGACTGTAGGTTCACAAGTTAGTAGCCTCCTTGATTATAGCATTACAGAGCATAGCTTGGTGAAGAGCATGATACAGTGCTGTCTGCCAAGGAAAATACCAACTTCAAAGAGAAATCTACCCATTTACCTAACATTTAGATACAGTGGTACTGATAACTCCCTTAAAAAGCTAACCTATCACATGTTTGCATGTTTAAGATCTGAATGAAAATCTAATATATTAAAAAAGTAGACAATATTTCTGGAATAACACAACTGTAATACGGAAGAAGGGCAGGAGTTAAAGTTTTCAGAATGTCTTTTAAAAAGGATCACAAAATAGTTGTCTGAGATGAAGAAACTATCCCTTGGAAATGGGCTGAATCCGATTCCCACCACCCCCACCAAAAAAGGCAACAAAGTCCATTTTAGAGCCCAAAATTATTTTAAATTAACCACTTATGTTTTCTCCTACAAACTTACAGACTGCTGAATATGAAAGTGCCTCACAATAGATGTTGCTGTCTTTGGAGAAATGGCTTCTTTGACATCTTTTGAGGTCTTGGTCGAATAAAGAGTACAGGGTATAATTGGGTCTCAGCCTTTTCTTCTCCAACAATAACAAACATTTCTATCACATGCTTGCAATGGCAATACAAAAATCCTGCTGTTGATAACTGACCTTAGGACAAAACATCCCCAGTTTCCATGAAGAGGCCAATTTTCTTTTAAGGTTTTCTTTGCATGTGCTAATTTTCCTATTCTCCAGAGCAATTGCAATTCTCATTTTCTTGTGAATAAGTTTAGCTTGGCTGAAAAGAAGAAAATACCTTCCTTTTTTTTTCATATGTACACATTTTGGAAGGTAAGTGCTCTTACATACACATTTCTGGCTTAAAAACTGCTTGGCTGTTCTAAGCTTAAAGCAGACATAGAAATGTAGTTGAAAGAAAAAAAGAAGTTTTTTCTTGTTGTTGTTTTTTGTTTTTTGTTTTTTTCCACATTGGCTTCTGTCTCCCTGAGAGAGCCTTCAGATAGTAAGGTCTGTTTTAATAATCTCAAAGCCCTAAAGAAAGAAACACTAGTTAGTTAATTTTTATCCCCAGCCATGAAGATGTCCACAAGAGTAATTATAAGCTGATAATTTTTCCTGCTCTAACATATCTCAAAACCAACTCCTATCTACATATGTAAAAAATATACTTTCTTCATAACAACTTTTCAAAGCTTGACCTTGACATCTTTTTCAAAGTCTACCATGAATAATTTCAATCTGGCAATTATGATTCTTTTTCTATAGATAGAGGTATTTCCTTCAGTTCCTGCTACAGAATAGCCACATTTCATTTTAGAAGTGTTTTAATTCCAATGATGGTGAAGAAAAATATTCTGGTGCTGAAACACAAATTTCAAGACAAAAGGAGTTCTAAATGTATTGTTATGATTTATATAGTTTCTATTTTGATGAAATGTTAAACAGAGACAAAAAGATCATCTATGCTTTCTCTCAAAATTGTGGACTAGGAATCCTTCTAAGAATCACACCTAGCAGAACCTTAAATCTATTAAAAATTCTACTTAAATATGGTTTATTAATATCATAGAAGATGTTAAAAAGAAATAATTATTTGTGATGTTTACAGCTTGCTGAGAAATCCAATGTCCAGCACAGTGTCTTCTCTATAGCAGGAGCTCAACAAGTATTTTTCGATTTAGTGACTAATGGCTGATGCGTGACAAATAAAATCTATAGTGTTAAAAGCTGTAGGAGAGAATATACCTATAGTTAATTTGCAATGAGAACCAAATAAGAAGGGGCTTAAATTGAAGCAGAAGTAATTATATTTGAAAGATAAACTCAATGACTATGAAGCAGACCCTAGGAGAGACTTGAAGGCCTGGAATTTGTTCATGCTACTTAATAAGTGGTTTCTAACTTCGTTGTATATGGGGGCGACTCTTCATCTCATGGAGGAGTTGGTGTGACTGGTACATTTAATCGTAATATCTGAGGCTCTGTTACTCTCTGCTGCTTTCTCTGAATGGAATTTGACTTGTCAGCAAGAAAAACTAACTATTGTTTGCAAAACTCCATATGGCTCAAGGAAGCATATCTGAACACTGAAATATTCCTACTAACAAAGGGACCATATCAGTAGTATGGCAGCAATATAAACAAATAAGTGACAAAATGAAAGACTATCAGTGGGAGCTTACCTATTTGTGTGTGTGGGAGGATGGGACACTTCAAGGGTAAAGACATTTATGACTGCCTTTCTGTGTTCATAAGTTAGTACTAGTAAATTTCAAGATCAAATTTGGCTCTAATTACAAATTTTTAAAAATATCTGAATACCTACTAGGTACCAACAAAAATTAAAAACAAATTGGAAACAGAAACTTGATGGCTGAAACAGCCATCCAGCTACTTCATTAATCTTTTAGGTATAGATAGTAATTTAACCATGCAACACAATTGCACACTGCCAAGTCACAAATATATGACACTGTGGGCTTAGGGAGAAACTGACATTTTTTCTTCTATGGGTCTTGGTAATACCATCTGGTACTCCAGAAAGGAAGAACTACAAAGAACAGTCTACAGTGTGTTGCCATCTGGTACCTACTAATAATAGAAAACTGGGTAGCTTGCCCATTTTAGGTGTGTACTCATAGAATAGTATTCATGGAATTCAGAAGACTGTGATTTACAACCAAAGTAGTATAACTCTTTTTGAATACTATCCTTGGCTGATGGCTCTGTACAGGCCTCATATGGAAATGAGGTAAATTTTGTGGCAAAGCTGAATGACTAAATTTTTAAAAAATCTCAGCAGCTTACCTTGACTTCCTGTTTCATAACATGTAAGAACTAAAAAAGAATTATAAAGATGGTGATAAATTTAAAATATTTGTGTAACACTTCATCTAACCCAGGTATACAAATTTACTACTGGAATGTCAATCGTATCAATACTTGTCATTTGTAGTAATGAAGAATCCCCATCAAGACTAATTTTGACAACATTTTGTTTCTGTACACTTCGTAATTTATTTGACGTTATGTTGGTTAAATTACCTTTCCATTGTGCTTCCCCACCCCCACACAAATATTTGGGTTAGATAATAGAAGAACACCAGCAATTTACAATTACATACCTGTAATCATTTAATTTTCAGTCATTAGTTTAAGTCAAATTTTCATAGGGGTTAAAAACTAAATCAGAGAACTCATTAAATAATGAGTTAAATAATTTTTTAAAGTTTTGTTTTAAATGTTCAGTCCACTTTCCTGAGAAAAAGTGTAAGTGGATGATAGGAAAAGGAGAGAAGAAGAAAGAAGATGTAATGGCTACAAAAACAAGACTAATCAAGCTGTAGCAACTTGATAAGCAATGCTGAAATGTCTTTAGTTATTTTGTCTCTGGTTAGAAATTAGACATAATGAATTTCAGGGTTAAACTGCTGAAACTTAAATATAATTTTTTTCCAGAGTTCCATCAGTTAAAAAAATACTCTCTCAAACAATGCTTTTAAATTTCACCTACATTTTTGTTGCACTGTAGCCATTATATCTTGTACATTCTTCACAGAATACGTCCGTTTCAACAATGTGTTTTCCCAACTAAAGAATACCAGGGCAACAGAATGCAGTTATCTTGAAATGCACACCTGTTACGAAGCCAAAAGACTGTATCATATATTCCCTCCAACTGAAATCACAAACTTTCTGAGACATTTTTCTCTGACAAAGAAGATACACTGAATGAGGTATCATCAGGCTCCAGTGAGGCATGATTGAAATCCATTTCCTCTAATTCAGGAGGTAAATCTGACAGCAGTGCCTGAATAAAAAAAATAATATTTTTGGATTAGTATGTGGATAGATTGTTTTCCAATTTATATTAATAGTTGTAGTCCTCCCATGGTGAATTATCCTTATGGATTTAAAGAATAATTTATATTTCAGGATCTTAGACAATGCCTTACCTAAAAGAAAAATTCTTCATACATTATTCAGAAGGTAACAAAATTCTAGATGTTGAAAGTGTGAATTCTGTAGAGTAGAACCTGTACAAAGGGGATATTAGGAGGGAAATGAGCAACTCTTCTGAACCAAGTGCTTTGAAGTGTTTGAGGTTAGTGATTTTCATACTAGTTTTGAGTGTGCATTGATCACTGTTTAAGGGATTTAAAATTGCGTTCTTTGTTAAAATATTCATGCCAGTTATGCTGTCCTTTGTAGAAGACTGCATTTAACAAAAGACTATTTTGTTCTTCAGTGGGAGAAAGAACTTAGTAGTTAGGAAAAACCTCCAGCTATTTTACTTTAGACTAAATTTTAACAACTTGAAAAGACCAAGTAATTTTATTTTTTCTTTCCTAAGGCTATGTTCATACCTACAGATGGCCAAGCACCCACCAGGGCACAGCTGAATCAGTGGATCTATCTGTAGTAATGATGTATCTGGAGGGCTACTCATTTCTCTGCTTGAGTAATAAGGATAATCCAATAATGATGAAATAAGCTTTGTCATGGTCTAATTGTTTTATCTGAAGTTGTAGAACATGCACCCATTCTAAAGAAATAAATGATTAATCAAGTTTTACGCAGCTGACAATGCTAATGTTCACTTGACCATGAGGAACTTTGAACTTAATGATTGATTTGCTGCTTCCAATACTAAGAATAATGTAGCATATCTGGCAATTTTTAGACAGTATTACTTGTAATGTGGGCTTTGGGTGCAGTGGTAAATAAAGACCAAGGGAACAGGAAGAAATGAAAGCTTGTCACTAGCCAATTAAGGAACAGAAAGGGCATGTTGGAGAATATATGAAATCCACTGTTGAAATAAGACAGTATGCACTCATTCTCTTTATTAAAATAAGTGGCAGCTGCAAATCCTATACTTCCTGCCTTGTAGCACAGGGGCAAGATCAAAACATTCTCATTTTTATCAGGCTATGTAAGGGAAGACTAACCCCTATCTGGCAGACTAGCTGTTATTATTTATTTTATAAAATTGAATTTCTCATTAATTTATTGCTGGAACTGAGAGTATATACACAGTAAACTAACTTAAAGGTAATGCCTGCTTTCTAAGTGGCTAGATTGCAGTAATAGGACACGGAGCCATTTTCTCCTAGAAAAGTGTTTTACCACTAACCCAGTCCCAGTGCAATGGGGTCTTTTCTGACATTGGCTGATCAGTCTATATGACATACATCACTGGATTTAACTCGCTTTGCAATTCTGAAGATGCCATATTAAAGAGGAGAAAGTGTTCAAATTAACATTGACTGAACATGTTCTTAGAGTCAGAAAGTCAAGAGAATAAGATTTCATGATATTCTAATTTCTAATTTCTAGTGGGGAGATTACAAATCAAAGAAGCATTATTATTTATTTCTTTGTTACTGCATTATAAGTAGTTGAGTAAAATGAGTGCAGTAAAAAATATAAAAATTTTAATATCTGAGGCAGCATAGGGCACAACTAATACATGTGGTCCACTTTAAAATTCTTCTTTCAATATCTTACTAGATTTGCAACTGAAAAAAATCTTTGGATTATAACAATTGTTGGAACTGCCTTTTTCACAGATACTAACGTGAATACGATTAACTTTCTTTATTACAAATGTTTCATAAATGACAACTATCCTCAGGGTCTGACCTACGGTCATTTTTCCCAAGAGATTAAAGCATTTTCCATATGCTCAGATCTATAACACTTATTCTAGACCCTATGGTATGAATATCAAGTTCTGTAGTATTAATCATTCTTATCCCACTTGCAAAGTGGAGAAATTGAAGTTCAAGAAACGCAATTGATCTGGCTAGGAACACGCAGTGAATTATCAGGGGAAGCAAGACCATAGCAAATGACTAAGTATAATGCTGAAAATATTACTTTGATTTTAAAGTGGCTATTGATTTAAATAACAACAACAACAAAATCTTTGGGTAATCTAGTGTTTCAGTCAGAGAGTATCACATTTTGTAAACCCTGGACTACTTCAATGGTCCAAAATATTCTGTGGACCACACATCTGACTCAACTTACACAAATCAAGATTAATGGAAGAAAACTGAAGATCTTTTTTAAAATTAAAAACCAGTGACATGTGGTTGTCTTTTATTAGGTAGAATAAAAATTAACTCCTTCCAGAAATAAACCTATAAATATTTCATGATGTAAAGATCAGTAGTTTAAGCGATTACCTAGATAACTTTTTTGGACTACTATTCGTGTCTTCTATATTTTGTGACCATATTCTAAGATTCATTATACTCATTCTTAATTATACAAATTAGTAGTTTCTATTTGGTGCTGATTATACTGGCTATGAAGTTCACTACAATTTTTGAATCATGTTCTCTTTCAACCAACTTTTGTCCATATACTAATTTATTAGTCTTTAATCAGAGGGAAAGAAGAGGAAGAGAAAAATAAAAATGCACATTAATTACATTTGTTATTGGTCTTGGGAAAAGAACCAAACCAGGAATGAAGTTAGAATTAGAAAATAAAATGGGGTCTGTGTACTATTCCTAGATGTCAAGAGGCACAGAAACTTGCTAGTTACTTGGCCATATAACTCTCAATTCACAACCATGCTATGACTTTCAAAACAAGAGCCACACTTTAAGTTATTCCTCTGCTTGTACCTAATTTTGTTTATTCACAGTTATTTAAAACTTACAGTACTCTTGGGACCATGTTCAAAACTACCTCCCCTATTCATTTAAAATCTGCATTTTAGGTTTCTAAAAAATAAACACATTTTCAGTATGTCGTGGAATATACATAACTCACATAATAAACCAATATGCTTAAATTAAGCTGGCAAAGGTAAATGAAAGCTACTGTCTTGAGATGTCTGTGTGTGTGACAGGGTGTATGGGGAGTAAAATTCGTGAAACTTGACACATAATATACATGCTGGTTTGAGCCTCATGAGTAAATTCATTAGTTTCAATTTTGTGGTTCAGCACTTCAGTAAAATATATAAAGGCTATTTCTTGGGAAAAAAAGGGAGGCTTATGGAATGTTATGGCTTTAATCTTTTTCCTTAGGGATGTCTGAGATGGGCTATATACATGCTGTCTTTCTTTGATATAAGAGATGAATATTTGTACTCCTGACATTCCTTGATGAATAAAAACCTCTGAGACTGTTTCCTAAACAAGGGTTACATATGTCTCACACTACTCCTATAGAACTGTGACAAGGAATCAGCATAATGTCATATAGCTCAAATGAAAATTTGGTATAATTTAATATTACATGGTACATTTATTATAATTCTATAGTTTTTAGCAGGCTTAACAAATTATTATATAGATCTCACATGAATGTATGAGACACAAAATATAATTTGGGAGGAACTGGTAAACAAAAACCCACATCAACATGCAAAAGACAATACATTTCATCTTTGGAGTCAAAAATTCAAATACTCAAATACTTAAATTGGGAAAAGTAAGTGATGCACTGTGGAAACAAAGAGTTTCACAAAGTAATTTCATATTTTCTTAGTGATGAGCAACACATTACAGAATAGAAGATGTCCAAACATCTGTGAACTGTAGTGGAGGTTGGCAGGAAATTAAGATCCAGAAGAGATGCAAAGAAATGCTTTAACTCTTTCATTCACAAAAGGTCCCAAAATATGTGCCTCTCTAGTTAGGGTAGCCTAGTTTCTATCAACATTTTCAGAAATTTCTTTGAAATTAATTTTAAAGTTATTTTCCTCACCTAAAGACTAACCTGACATTAAAAGCATGTTAATCAATTATTTTGATTTTCCACTGAAGGAGCACACAAAATCTGAGCATCTATTCTCAAGAAAACTGTTTGCAAAGGTCATGAAATAACAAATATTTCCTCCATGCCAAGCAGAAATGAAGTATTAAAATGAAAACATATGAAGAACCCAAGTGTGACATACCATTTTTTGACTTGATACATTGCAGCTTACTAGTCTTTCCTGGGACCTACCTGCTGTTGTTCCTTATCATCAGCTTTCATTGCTAATATCAAGCTTCTAACAAAAGTCTGAAGTTTAAAGTATTTTTGCTTTTGAATCTCGAGCTCATTTTCAATGAATTTGACTTCTTCATTCTGAAAGAGAAAATACCAAATGATACAATTACCTTATGTAAACCCAGGACTATACATGTTTGATGCACAATAAAATTCTAAAAAACCATCAAATTAGAAGGACAATAAAGAAAACAAAATGTTAACATAAAGGAATACAAAGCATGGAAGAAAATGATCCTGTTAGTCACAGGATGCCTTTTAAGCAAATCACTAATAGAAAACAATTTATAAAGTCAAAAACCAATCCAATAAGTTCCAGTAAGAGAAAAACCAAAAAACAGCTCCCTTCTTGGAAAGACCCCTCCTATATCAAGCCTAATTGGCATTCAGATTAAGATTAAGAATAAAGGTTGGGTGCGTGGCTCACACCTGTAACCCCAGCACTTTGGGAGGCCGAGGCGGGTGGATCACCTTAGGTCAGAAGTTTGAGACCAGCCTGGCCAACATGGTGAAACCCCGTCTCTACTAAAAATACAAAAATTAGTAGGGCATGGTGGTGTGTGCCTGTAGTCCAAGCTACTTGGGAGGCTGAGGCAGAAGAATCACTTGAACCTTGGAGGTGGGCAGAGGTTGCAGTGAGCAGAGATCGCACTGCTGCACTGCAGCCTGGGCAACAAGAGTGAGACTGTCTCAAAAAAAAAAAAAAAAGATTAGGAATAGATAGAGTCCAATTAACCCAAAGAGCAATAGCAGACACAGTAATGTTGAATTTGCCATTCAGAAAGCCAACTACTCAGAACTTAAATGGTGAATTTGCACCAAGAAGAGCCTGAAATTACTAAGATTGTCTTAAGTTTTTTGCTGAGCCTCCACAGATTAAGTAGGAGTCTGTTATTCCAAGAAATCTGAAAATGTACCACTGTGTACTATTGGTGTAAGAATCAGTTACTCTTTACTATTTTTGCTAGTCGTATAGGTAAAACAACTGGACTAATATTTGGGAGTATTCTAGTGCCAGGTCTACTGATAACTGTAAACTTAGGTGGGAGACTCTCTTTACTCATCAGTAAAATGGTTATTATACTGGTAATCCCTGACAGTTCTAGCTTTGAGGGCTATAACACTCAAATAAGATAATGGCCATGAAAGTGCTCTGAATAGATTTACTATGAAAGCCACAGTAATCAAGAAAGGATGGTATTGCATAAGGATAGACATATCAACCAATGGAAAAAAATAGAGAGACCAGAAATAAATCCCCACAAAAATGGTCGATTGATTTTCAACAAAGGTGCTGAGGTCACCCAATAGATAAAAAAAGTATTGTCTTTCAATAAACAGTGGTTAAACAAATGTAAATCCACATGCAAAAAAAAAGTTATCGGCCCTTACCTCACATCATAGACAAAGTGTAACAAGACATGGATCATAGACCTAAAACTAAAATGCATAATAAAACTGAAACTTTTAGAGGAAAACAGAGGAGAAAATCTTCGTTACCTTGGGTTAGGCAAAAAGTTTCTTAAATAGAACACAAAAATTATGGAACTTTAAAAAAAAGAAAACTTTTATTTTAATTTATTTAGTTAAATCAATTTTATTTATTTATTTTTTATTTAGAGACAGGGACTTGCTCTGTTGCCCATACTGGAGTGCAGTGGTACAATCATAGCTCACTGCCACCTTGAACTACTGTGCTCAAGGGATCCTCTCACCTCAGTAGCTAGACTACAGGTATGCACCACCATCCATGGCTAATTATTTTTTAACTTTTTTGTAGAAATGGGGTCTCCTTATTTTGCCCAGGCTAGTCTTGAACTCCTGGTCTCAAGCGATCCTCCCACATCAGTCTCCCAAAGTGTTGGTATTACGGGGATGCATTATTGTGCCTAGCCTCAAGAAAGACCTATTTTATAAAATGAGGTCAGGAGTTTTAAACCAGCCTGGGCAACATAGCAAAACCCTGTCTCTACCAAAAAAATATATATATATAGCCTGACATGGTATGGTGTGGTGGCATGCAGCTATAGTCCCAGCTATTCAGGAGGCTGAAGCAAGAGGACTGCTTGAGCCCAAGAGTTTGAGGTTGTGGTGAGCCATGATCATACCACTGCACTTCAGCTTGGGTGACAGTGAGACCCTATGTCAACAAACAAAACAAAATGATACAAAAAACAACTTTGCTCTTTAAAATATATTGTAAAGAAAATAAAAATAAAACCACATATTGGGAGAAAATATTTTCAAACCATACATCTGACAAAGGACTTGGATTCAGAATACATGAAGAACTGTTACAACTCAATTATGAGATGAGCAACAAAGTAAAAAGCAAAATATTTGAACACACTCTTCATCAAATAAGGTATCTGAATGACCAATAAGCACGTCAAAATATGCTTAATATCATTTGTTCTTAAAGAAATACAGATTAAAACCCCAAAGAGATACTACTACTGACATATTACAATAGTTAAAGAGATTGACAGTACCAAGTGCTGACAAGAATGTGGAGCAATTAGAAGTCTCATACATGTTGACAAAACGTGTCAACCTCTATAAAATCCTTGAAGAGATTGATTCTGAGCCAAATATGAGTGACCAATGGCCTGTAACACAACCCTCAGGAGATCTTGAGAAATGTGCCCAAGGTGGTTGGGCCACCACTTGATTTTATACATTTTAGAAAGACACAAGGCATAAATCTATATTTGTAAATTGTACATTGGTTTGGTTCAGAAAGGGGGGACAACTGGAAGCAGAGGCTTCCAGGTCAAACACAGATTCAAAGATTTTCTCATTGTAAATTGCATGAAAGAGTTATCAACAGAAAGGAATGTCTGAGTTATGATTAGGGGTTGTGGAGACCAAGGTTTTATCTTGCAGATGAAGGCTCCAGGTAGTAGGCTTCAGAGAGAATAGATTGTAAGTGTTTCTTATCAGACTTAAAGAATCTGTTTTATCAGTGATTCCAAACGGGAGGAAGATATAATGAGGCATGGCCAGCTCGCCCTTCCCATCATGGCCTGAACTAATTTTTCAGGTTAACTTTGAAATGCCTTTGGCCAAGAGGGGGGGTTCATTCAGATGGTTGAGGGTCTTACAATTTTATTTTTGGTTTATTAATACATACATTATTGGTGAAAGTGTAAAATGGTACAGCTACTTTGGAAAATATTTTGGCAGTTTCTTATGAAATTCAACATAATCTTTCTTAACGTAAGACTCAGCAATCCTACTTGAGGTATTTACCCAAGATAAATGAAAACACATGTCATTAAAAGACTTATACATCAATATTCATAGCAGGTTTATTTATAATAGTCCCAAACCAGAAGGCGTTCAAGACTTCATTAGCAGGTGAATAAACAAATTATGGTGGTGTTTACACAACTATGTCCACCTGTCAAAACTCATTTAACTGTATACTTAAGAAGATGAATTTTATTGTATGAAAATTATGCATCAAGTAACCTGATTAAAAATAAAGTCTATCCCAAAGGGGGGAAATAAAACCTCTTCCTTCTGTCTAACTGACACTTTGTATCCTCTGACCATCATTCCCTTATTTCCCAGCCTCCCACAAGCCCTTGGTAACCACCATTCTACTCTCTGCTTGTTTGAATTTGATTGTTTTTGATTGCGCACATTAAGTGAGAACGTGATGGGAGTCTTTTTGTTAATGGCTTATTTCATTTAGCATAATGTTCTCCAATTCTCTCCATGTTTTTTCAAACAACAAAGTATTTTTATATGCTGAATTGTATGAATGGTGAATATGGTAAATAATAATAATATATTGTACATTTCAAAATCACTATGAGAAAATTTGAAATGTTTTCACCACAAAATATGGTATCTGTGGTGGTGGATATGTTATGTCGTTTGATTTAATTAATCCACTTGGTATTCATAAATCATAACAGCATTTTGTACCCTATAAATATACACAACTCTTACTTGTCAGTTTACCATTAAAAAGTAAAAATTATTCTAAAAAAATAATCAGCCAGTTACCATTTCAAAAAACATGGAAGTAGCCTATGACTATTCTTTGCATCTGGCAAACTGGTCTCAAAATCATAGCAGGACTTTTAAGAGCATTTGTTCAAAAAACCAAATTAAAGTATATTAAAATTAATTGGTTACATGGATATTTTTGTTGTTTCAATTGAGAGGATGGTGTAGTATTTATCATATTCAATCTATTAACATGTTTACTATATCATTTATTTTATCAGCTTAGTTAAAAACTTTTTTTACCTGAACATGCTCCTGTCATAATATATTTTACTAAATTTAGGCCTTTGCTTTATTAGTATTCATTGTTGGAGCAGTAGTATTAGTAAAGTGCTGACCAGGAAGTCGTTTCTAATACAAGAGATATACGTTATCATTATAGTAGTATCTGGTTTGAATGCACAGTCCTTCTTAGCTGCATTCAAGTGTATTAGGAAACATTGATTCACATTTGCAAAAGTCATGAAGCATCTTTTGGTATGCAGACTTCTAATTCTTCATGCAAATATTTCTCCTCCTCAGTATTTATGCAATGTTTGAAAAATATAAACAGCTTTAAGATAATTTAATATTGCAGACATTTTCTTCACAGAGCTGCTTTGCAAGCCTATTAAATACTTCCTAGATAACAGGCAGTAATTTATGTATACTTTCAAGATTTTCTAAGTAAATCAATGCTTGTGAGAGGAACTAGTATCATAACATCAGTTACTGAATATCATAAAACAAGATCTATCTTATTTTTATTGTTGTTAAAACCCTACCTACATTTTGAGTAAACTTTGTTAGTTCTTCGTCAAGATGATAGTAAGGAGAACTCCAGTTTCCACATTGACCAGAGCTTTGATCTCTGAGCAAGCTATTAATGACTGCCAAGTCTGAGGTGCTATTTTATGATGCAGTTACTCTTGCCTCAGGTACTGAGCCCATCAAAGTGTCTCATAAACATTTTGTGTTATTTAGAATTCCTAAGAACATGGATTTCTAGTGATGTATCTCAGTCAAAAACTCCACTATGACCAAAATGAGTATGGATGGTTGCATAGTAATAATTATCAAATGCACCATTGGAAACATTCTTTCAGTTTGCCACATGAAATCTCAAGAATGAGAGACTGTATAATTCAGTGTAGGGGAAAAATACAATGATCCAGCTCCTGATTTTATATAAATGAGTACTTGCATAATAGTTTTAAAATTATTTCCAAAGATAAATTAAGTCATTTGTTCACTCACTCAGCAACTACTGTAACTATAGTTACAGTTGAACAATTATATGACAGGCTCTCAACCAGGTAACACATAGGTGAATAAAATAAGTCTCTTCTCACAGGAGGTTTAGGATGAATATATCATCATGTGTTGTATAACAACGTTTCAGTCAACAATGTGCCACATATAATGACAGTCATCCCATAAAATTATAATGGAGCTGAAAAATTTCTATCACCTAGTGATGTTGTAGCCATCATAACATCATAGTACAATGCATTAACTTTTCTATGGATAGATACACAATACTTATTTGTGTTCCAATTGCCTACAGTATTCAATACAGTGACATGCTGTACAGGTTTGTAGCCTAGAAGCAATAGGCTATACCATATACCCTAGGTATGTAGTAGGCTATATACATCTAGGTTTGTGTAAGTACACTCTATGATGTTTTGCACAATGACAAAATTGCCTAACAATGCATTTCTCAGAATTTATCCCCATCATTAAGTGATGCATAATGGTACTTAAGATATCAACAATGTGGTTTTCATCCCCAAACAAGAAACACTAGTATGTGTATATAACTAGGGTACAACATTTTCTCTGAAGACAGATAAATTACTAAACTGGTAGAGCTTTTTAAAACCAACATCCTGAAATCAGTAACAAGAACTGCTATATGAGGTTTTGCTTACCTTTCCCTTAGAAGTAACAAAGTTCATGTGAGGTGAGTTGAAAAATTTTAAAATCATGATTACAAAAAGATATATTTTCTATATAAGTGCTGAATTTTGAGGATTAAAAAAAGAACTTTATGGAACTGCCAAGCCTGAGACACTTACATAAAACATATTTAAAAAATCCCTAATGGGGTAGTGAATGACCCCTTTGTTTCCACAGAATTTATTACAATGGAAAACACTGGATTAATACAATGCTCTTGAGAGTTCGGTGAAAATATTAACAAACATTTCTGGACTAGACACTCTGCCCTGCCCTCCTCTGGTTTTTAGCGCCAAACCTTTTCAAGGAGACTGCCACCCAAGAGGGGAGAGGTCTTGGAAAGAATCCTCTGAGTCCTGGGCCCAACCCTCTTTGACATATTTGAGAGTGCTAAGAGGAGCACTCTTAACAGCTGTGCAATCTAGTCCTTTCGTCTGTAGTTTCCACAACCTGTGCCAAGCTGTGGCATGCAGAGACATTGAAATCCTGAACTGGGCATTTAGAAATATTATATGACCATGTAGGAGAGATTATCGTAATCTCTTGTATTTCAGAACCAACAAACTTATAATTCTGTTAGTTGAAAATACAGTCAAAATATAGGATTTCATCATGTTCTTTGACCATCTAGGAAATACGTTTCAAAAGATATTTTCCTTCTGTGTTTACAATATTCAATATTTTAAAGCTTGACATGTTATGAATATTTGGAAAACAGAATCTGTTGGATGGCATACATTTCAATTATGGTAAAACTGAAAAGATTTTTGAGGAAATGACAGCTGTTATATTTTCTGATTAAATGTTATTTTCTGTTAACATTTTAACATTACTAATCTCTGCTTTGAACACTAATGACATTCCATAACAAGAACTTTTGTGTATGAAAAGGACTGTGTGGCCAAAATTTCAGAAGTTCCCAAAGTTACCTAGTAAGATAGGATAATGATTATCAAAGGGACAGCTTTTATAAATCTATGCAGAAAACATATTGACATACAGACTGATATCTTATATACATATTTAATAAAATAATATGTATAGCACCCTGTCAAAGGCAGCTTTTCAATTTAGTAATAAATGACATTAAGAAAAGGTCATCTGTATTCATATTCATTCTGTATTTGCTTTGGAAATTGTTTGCAAACTTCTCCTATAACAGCTGTATTATCATATTTTTAAAAATTGTCCACAGAAGAAGTAAAAATTTAGGATAAAATTAGCAAAGTCCACTGGAAAAAGAAATCCCTTTTACTATCATTTAAAAATGAACATTGGCTTTATAAAAGCTTTGTCATACATTTCATGTTGGCCATGACCAAGTACTGCCTCCATCCTGCCATATACCATCAATACTTACTCCACTCAGCAAACTCTTTGCCTAAGATCATAACCCCTAAACCCGACAGCAATAATTAAAATAACCAGCACTCTGACTGATATTCAAGTAGCCAGAAAGAATTAATGCAGAGCCTTAGAATGCTTAACTTATTAAATAGGAGTAATATAGGTATTGTAAAATTCTGCCTCATTTAATACCTTCTCTTAATAAATTCATAATTTAAAATTACCTACCTTATAATCCAAGAAAGAGTTTACTTGTTCTACTTCAGAATTACTTATCATGTCACTTTCTTCATCATCAATAATTTCTATTTTCTGTAACACAAGTAGAGAAGTTACAAATATATATCACATCATTCTTACTACACTCAGCAATGCATAGAAAATATGCATTCAATGTTTAGGTTATCTAGTCTAGGTTATCTGGAATAAATTCTGATAACTGACTGGCTCCTCAGTGTTACATATAGTGTGTGTCTGAGCCACCTCCCTCTACCTTTAACTGATGACTGCTTGTTAAATAAAAAAATTAATACTATTTAAAATAGAAAATGTCTTTCTACAATATCCCTAACAAAGCAGGCGAACTGCTTAAACAGCACCCTCCAGGGACAGGAAATTTACTTCCTGTAATGGTGGTCTATTTTAATGCGAGTAAACATACAATTGATAGGAATAGCTTTCTTTTTTAAGTTTCCACATGCCTCTTTGTGACTTCTAATGTAAAATGTCAGCATATGACATATTCCAAAATCAAACACAATTTTTAAAAATTCCAATATTTACTGCACACTGCACAACTTTAGCTTGACAACTAATTAAAAGCAGGCATCTATGATGTAATGATAAAAATAGCATGATGATTTGTTTCCTTCACTGAAGAGTAACAGCCAGGATGAGGAGGTGGAGAGAGAGGAAAAGGGAGAAAGAGAAAGGAGAGAGACAGATTAAATTATCTTTAGCTTTTAAAAAAAGGCATAGCATAGCTTGTACAATATCTTGTCCACAGTAGGTACTAACACTAATTAAATATCTGTAGAAAGAATGAACAAAACAGTTCAGCGTTGATGAAAAAAAAATGACCAATTAGCTCCAACCATGAGGGGGCAAGTTCTCTAATCATGTGATTTTTTTAAAAAAAAAGCAAAAAAAAAAAAAAAGGTATAAGTAAAATCAGCTCTAATTTTTCTTTCACATGTAAAAAACACAGTCAAGAAAAAACTCCTTTAAATATTTAAACCCTGCCAACCCAAAGAAAATTTTTAAAGAGGAAAAACTAAGCTATATTCAGTCACTAGACGGTCTTTTAAGAACAAGCACATAAATAGCAACATGTTGTAGGCAGAATTTGAAATCAGGCTTCCTACTCTGTATGTGTGTGTGTGTGTGTGTGTATACACACACGTATATACATATATGAACACACATACATACATATTTACATATGGTGATTAAAAGTCACAAATTAACTTGGAATGATTATATTTAATATATTGCGTATGAGGATATGATACTATTACAGGGTTTGTGACCTGCAGGCTTTTGAGTCAGGAAAACAGCTGCAGTGAAATTACTTTCTACTGCTGCCTGGAGATGAATCCAATATTTTGTTTTCTATTCTAATCTCTATAAAATTGGGGCTTCATCATGCCAGCTCTTCCAAGACCTCAGATTTGATATTTTTTGATGTTTTTCAGATTCTCTACATATTTGGATTGGCTCTGGCAAAAAGGAGCTAGGCAATTCAGGGAGGGATGCACCAAAGGCCACCGTAGAGATGTGTGCATTTAAATAGGTCTTATATGTCTGTTTGATTTGTTATCCATGAATAATTGGGAGCACTCAAAAGTTACAGGCAGAGGAGATTAGCCTTTGAAAGTGTGGCATTTTGTTTCTAAAAAATCAATTGCTTTTTGAAAAATTAGGTGCCTAAATGACTGTGAGTCATCCCATGCCATGGCTTCATTCATTATCTCCAAATATCTGCTGCAAAGGAGATTCAACGCAGAGAAATTCAGGCTACAAATGAGCATGTCTTTAAAGGGAAAGATGTTTCAATTTGTAAATTGTACATAACTTGCACACTAAAACTCAAATCTGTAGCAGATTATTAGTTGGTGGAATTTAAGATGAGCACAATTCATAACCATCGAAAACAATTACTAGTAGCTATCTAACAAAAACACGACTTTGCCTCACAATCAAAGCTGTTTTCCTGTATGCTTGTTAAACTTAGTGTTAGAAGGGTCAAGCATTGACTTCAACCAGGACTCAAATCAGTAAAATACAATCCTAAACTATATTCTGCTTGTAGAAAACACTGTTATATATTACTGTTATTTAACAAAAAAATAGCAAAACTATTTTATGCGCTCAACTTTTATTAAAGACATGTGGCAGGACTACAGTGTGAAATAAGTAATGCTTCTAATGAAAGTCAAGGGAAACCCTAAAGTCACAGCCCTTTTGTAACAACAACAAAAAAATCAATTAAGAGGCTATTTTTTAGTGGCTGCAATCAAACACAGAACGTTGATTCAAAAGCAAAAACAAAAGGACAATGACATTCCCCTTTATATCTGACTCTTAATACCATCTTGATTATAGGGTTACTTGATAGGGCAGAATATAAACAGATGTTGCTAAAACAGCTGCATAGGGAGCATCACTATATGTTTACATTTTCACAAAACCCAGTTTACTCCACACACAACCTGCTTCTATTTGCTATTCAAACATTTAATACTGTCTTTCTTTCTATATTGTGATTTTTAAGATGAGTAACCAGAGTACAATTTAACTATTAATAGGAGGAAAAAAGTTCCAAACACACCATCAATAGGTATGTTCTGAATAGAGAACTCAGAGTCGGAAATTCTTGCATACATGTGCCACAACTAACAAAGTTTTCCTTCACGATCTCATGCTAAACTCTGTTTTAATTCTGCCATCCATCAAATAGGTAGAAATCTGCTCTTTGCTAACTGTGTTGAAGAAAAATAGCTTGTTATATGTAAAATATCATATACATACCAAGTATTGGGTTTTTATATTTGCACATCTCCTCAATCAAAAAATTAGTGATACAAATGACAACATTTTAAATTTTACTTACTAAGCCATCAAAGATATGTAATTTCATTGGAAAGAGGTCTGTTTTGGTTTGTGAAGTGGAGCAAGACTTTATTCTGAAAATGAGAATATTTTCACCAACTGGATACTTGGGCTTGAAATCAACCATGTAATGAGAAAAGAATTTCAAACTGTACATACCACATTATCTGTGGTTACTGCATGGTGGTCCTCTTCCTTATGAGCCCTTGCATCATTCGGAACAACTTCATTGGGCTCTTCTACAGAAAAAAATGCCATAATTTCATTTTCATTTCGCAAAACTTTCTTGAGAATACTATTTTCAAGGTCATTTAAATAATTTCTCTATTATAAAAAGACACAAATGGCAAATTCATTTCACACGTTTGATGAGCAATTCTACTTCAAACAATGCATTCAAAGGAAATAAGTAGGGATGGGGGCAAATACAAGGATGGTCACCGTTGTCCTATTTGTAACTGAAAAAACGGACAAAAACTGTATCCTTAACAATGGAGGAATAGAGAAATTTAGAATCTATCTCTATAATAAATATTATGAAGCCGCTAAAATTGAAATAGAAGAACAGTAGTTATAAGGAAATATTCATGGTTTACTGGCAAGTGAAAAAATGAAGGTAACAAAATCTATTGTGTGGATACATATAACATTAATTTTATTTTAAAATATATAAACTTCACTATAAAATTTAAATAAATTTATTATGCAAATATGTAAATTTTCATGGAGACACACTAGGACTGTTTCCACAAAGACATTGTCATTAGTATTTCTAGATGGAATTATGAGTGATTTTTAATTTTTCTGTTTTCTTTTTGCTTATTTGTGTTTAAATATTTTTCTACAATGAACATTTGTTTCTCATTCAAATAAGAAAAAAGTCATAAAATAATTTTCAAATCTATGATATAAAACCATAAATCCAGAGTATTTCCAGTTTTGTGAATGTATGTGTGTACAAACACACACAGACACACTCCTGTATATATGCTAAGAGAAAATGGTGGCAAAAATATCCTCTTATCCTTATTTTCAGAAGGGTTATCACTGAGGAATAGGATTGTTTCTATTTTTATTGTATTTCCCAGTACTTTCTAAAATGAACATGTATCCCTTTTCTGATCAAAATTCAATATTCTAAAAACGAGAAAATAAGTGAAAGAAATAAATTAATTCAGAGAAACCAGACTACTAAAAAACTCTCCAGGCTGAGCTAGGGGAACTGGTCGGTTCAAGGCACAGGGTGTCTGCATGTATAATCCCTTCTGTTTTAGATTACCCTCCACCAGCCCCTTAAAAAAACAAGGTAGCAATGTTCCTCTCTCTCTCTTTATCTCTTCTTTTGGCACAGCCATATCATGGAGATTATTTGAATAAATACTAGTAGAATTTCGCGATCTCATGGTAACTGACATTTTACTTCACCTTAGGAAGCAGAACAAAAATATTTATCAGCCCTCACGAATTTTTCGAAGTCTATTCCTTTTCATGGAAAGAAATATAGGGGTGCCTCGTATGAGCATGGGGGAATTATTAAGAGGAAAATGTGGTCGATCCAGGAACTCACATATGACCATATAGAGAATTCAAGTTTAAGATATTCAGGAAAATCTTACCAGAATTTTGATGCAAAGTCCACTATAAACACAATTTAAATGTTTTTGTCTCCTCTGCTATATTTTTTAAAAATTAAATTTTGGGGGGTATATTTGAGATATACAACATAATGTTATACACACACACACATATATAAATTGTTTCTATAATGAAACAAATTAACATATCCATTATCTCACATAGTTATCCATCCCCACCCACGAGCAGCTATAATATACTCCTTTAGCAAAAATCCTGAATAGAGTACACTTATTAATAGTAATCCTCATGTTGCATATTAGATCTTTTGACTTGTTCATACTACATATTTGCTACTTTTTATCATTTGACCTGCATTTCCCTATTTCCTCTCCCTCCTACTCTGATCCTGGTAACCTCTTTTTTTTCTCTATCTGTTTATATTTGACTGTTTTTCTCCCCTGCCATTTGCCACAACATGGATAGACCCTGATATGGTTTATGTCTGTGTCCCCTCCCAAAACTCATGTCAAATTGCAATCCCCAATGTTGCAGTTGGAGCCTGGTGGGAGGTGATTGGATCATGGGGGTAGATTTCCCTTTTGATGCTGTTCTTGTAAGAGTGAGTGAGTTCTCAAGAGATCTGGTGTTGAAAGTGTGTAGCACCCCATCCCTCTTCTTCCTGTTCCAGCCATGTAAGACCTGCCTGCTTCCCTTTCACCTTCTGCCATTATTGTAAATTCCTGAGGCCTCCCTGAGAAGAAGCCAGCAACATGCTTCCTTTACAGCCTGCAGAACTGTGAGCCAATTAAATCTCTTTTCTTTATAAATTACCCAGTCTCAGGTATTTCCTTATAGCAGTGCTGGAACAAACTGAAGCAGACCTGCAGGACATTATGCTGAGTGAAATAACTGAACACAGAAAGGAAAATATTGCATGATCTCACTTATATGTGGAATCTTAAAAACAGGTCAATTTAATTTTTTTAAAGAACGGTTCATAGACAGAGGAGCCTTTACCTACTCATTATTTAGACATTTCAAATCACAGACATTTCAATTCCTATGTAATCAGCAACAAAATGTAATGAAGGAAGGGAAAAAGTGTCATCAGCCAGTATTAGCACTAGTGGCCTCAGAAGAGAGTTTATATTGCTTATCAACAAGGTAACATTCTTTAAAGGTTTGCCTTATATTCCTATTCTCCTTTTCTCATAACTTTGTACACAGTTCTCCTTTACTGGCAACATATTTTGTACATGGTTTGATTATTTTGGAAGATTAAAATTAAAACTATATTGAGGATTTCTAAAATAAAAGGATGTGAAGTGATACAGTTGAATAAGGAATGTTTTCTTTCGCTTACAGAAGCTTCAATATTTGTGAATGTTTGAAATCTAAACACTATCTACGTGCCTGGTAATTCCCCAAGAAAAGCAGCTCTGCTAATTGGATAATAAAGTGGAATAATTACCCAGTAAAAACTCTAGAGGGCGCCCTATGTGGTGGCTGTATGTACTCCCACTAAGTAACTGTATAATTATCTTTCACGTGCATACCCATATAATAGATACAGCTGAAAAAAGAGGCTGTGATGTAAAATTTAATGACATAGATGTTAATTGTTCTCATCTTTAAAAATTTTGGTTCTCAGGATAGTAAAAATCTTTAAAGTTGTTCAAACATAAATTTATTTTTCACTGTATATTAATTGTAGATACAGAAATTAAGGAGCTCAGCCATCTAGCTATTACTTTTGCTACAGTTTGCAGTTGTGGGAGGGGTGAGCTCAGGTAGGTTTATTTGTTTTTGTTTTTGTTTTTTATCTTTCCTAACCACACTTCTTTTCTCTTCATCACCACACAGGGAAAGGGAAAGGAAATGGGAAAGGGAAGGTGGGAGGTGGAAGGTGGAAGTTAGAGGTAAGTCAGAAGTTCTGTATTAGGGAAGTATCTACCCTCTCAGAAACAAATGAGTGGAACTGAAACTGCTAAAAGACCAGCAGCACTTTTTTTGACTCTTACTAAAGCTGCCTTTTACTGAATTTTAAAAAAATCTTAATTTTTGCTTATACAGATTTTTCTAGAATATTTTAATGTGATTTTCAATTGATTTTTAATATGTAATATGTAACCCTAACTTAAAGATATCTTTCCCTTCTTAGATAATGCTACTGAATCAGTAGCCCTATTATAAGCAGTCTGAATTTCAGTTGTTAGGTTTTTGAAATACTATGGGCAGCTAATTTTAGAATAATCTAAAGATTATTTTTTCTTTATATTTCTTAGATGTAATTAATGGAAATTTCAAAGTAGAAATATATTTAAATACATTTTCATAAACTGGAAGGAAAATGGTTAGCATATTTTAAAGGCATGATATTAATTTAGGCCAGATGATATGATTCACTTAATCAAACGAATCGTATTAGTATTCTCCACTAGCAAAATGAGGAAGAGAATAGGACATAACTAGTAGGAAACTGTACCAAAAAGGGCTGTTTTCAGTATTTGAAAATGATTTTATGCTTTTCTGTTGCAATTTCTGTGAGAATGAAAAGGTTACCATGCAGCTGTGGAAAGATAAGCCACCGATAAAAAATTCTAGGCAATCACACTTCTGATCAAGTGTTTTTTGATTCATGCATTAAATTCTCTTTCTTCTTTTTCTCATTGTGTCTTGATTACTATGCCAGCTATTTAAAGAACACACCATGACAAAGAATGTCAGTGTAGGAGCAGTGGTCCATTAAGAGTGGACCATTAAGTGGTCTTTAAAATTAACTTTCACTTTTTTTCCTTCAACTACTTATTTTCTAAAATTATCTTTTAGGTGGAGAAGTGGGAGTTGGGAAACGAAACTTCACTTAGGGTCTTCTGTACTTTCTCTGAATATTTTCTCTCAGCTCACCCACTCAACCACAGAAACACACAAATCCCTACTTCCCCACTCTCCTTCAGCTAGTCACCACTCAGCAGGCTCTAAAACACCAGTCATGAGTCACTGGGAATATCCAAGTATCTCCAGGCATATGCAATTTAGTAAACACTAACCAATGACAGAAATGGTTTAAAGGACCAACTATATTAGAAATAAAGGGCTTGGAAATGGTGCAATATTTCTTTTTTTCTTGATAATTTTAAAATCTGCCTCACTATTTCCCTGTACACTTAATTCTCTGTTATCATCTTCAATATGAATAACAAATGTTAAGAAAGAGAGAGAGAGAGAAACTTGAATATTCACATAGATAACATTTCAAATACCTGATCTTAACATGCATGGCCCTCTTAATACTAGTAGCTTTGCTTTCCCTTTCATTACTCAACCTACTGCAATCTGCTTGCCTCTCCTCTCCCCATGCAGTTAATTGCTTTTTTAAAGAATTTCTAAAACACCAAATTCAATGGCTTTCTCATCCCTTTTTCTACTTAACTTCTATGAGACCACGAGACTACTGAAATAATGACGCCTCTTCCTTCTGAAATCTCCTTATTTGTTTTTTTTTTTTTCTTAATTTTAGAGACAGAAGTCACTACGTTGCTGAGGCTGGAGTACAGTGGCTATTCACAGGTGCAATCAGAACACACTGAAGCTTCAAACTCCCAACTTCAAGGGATCCTTTTCGCCTCAGCTTTCCAAGTAGCTGAGACTACAGGCATGCCACTGCACCCGACTCTTTCCTTGATTTTAGGAAAAGCATACTGTCCTGCTTCTTCTGTTTCTGAATGTTCTTTCAAGGGCTCCCTTTTCTCCTCCAATGCCCAAATCTGGATATTTATCAATACACAGTCTTTGTCCATTGTCCTTTCTTGTTTTTCATTTTCTCACTTAACTAAATCTTCAATCTTCATGGCTAGATATTTTTTGCCTCAATGTGGGTGACTTCCATATTTCTTTTTATGTCTTAAGCACTCATCTGAGTTTCAGACTCATATCATCCAAAGGCCTGCTTGGACAGCTCTACATGGATGTCCAACCACTATCTAAAATTCAATACGTGCAAAGCTGAATTCATCTTCCTACAGTATTCTATAAATTTAATACAATGCCAAGAAAAATCTTGAATGGATGTTGGGGAAGGAGATTTGGAAAAGGTATGCTTAAACAGTTCAAATTGTATGACTAAACAATTCAAGAATCAATATACTACAAAGCAAAGAAGAATGAGGGCCCTACCAGCTATTAAGACATTTTATAAAGCCAAAGTTGTAAACTGTCAAATCAGTGTAACAATAAGCAGTCTCAGATTTGACCCACATGTGTATATGTGTACGTCTGCATGTGTGTATATGTGTGTGCATGTGTGTGTGTGTGTGTGTGAGAGAGAGAGAGAGTGTGTGTGTGTATTTAATAAAAAGCTACATTCCAACTCACTGGTAAAAGATGAGTTATTCAACAAATGGTGTAGGGACAATTAGTTAACCATTTGGAAAAATAAAATTGGATGTATTCATACATCTTAAAGCAAAATTAATTCTAGGTGAAATAAATATCAAGTTGTACAAATTAAACTATAAGGATACTAGAGGCAAATGTGGGGGTATATTTACATAATTGTAGTATAAGGAAAGACTGTAATCATGACCCAAGGTCAGAAACCATAAAGGAAAGTACGGGTAGATTTGAAAACTTAAAAATTACAAAAGAAAATCTGACATCAGAAAACATCATAAGCAAAATTAAAAGGCAAACAATACACTGGAAAATATATTGTAAGTATTCTAAACAGAGTTCAATGAAAACAAAAGCAAAATGAGAAAAGGCATGACCCTCTTTGTTTCTTAATCACAGATACAAAAAGCCTATATATTGCACGATTCAATTTATAGAAAATGCCCAGAAAAGACAAATTTATATCGTCATAAAGCAGATCAGTGGCTTCCTGAAGTTGAGAGTGGGAAGAGGGAGTGACTGCAAATGGGCTCAAGGGACTTATTGGAGAGATGAAACTGATATAAATTCAGATTTCAGTGATGGTGATGGTTGTACAACTGCATAAAATTTACTAAAAATCATTGAATTCTATATTTAAAATGAATGATTTTATTTTGAGACAGGGTGTCACTCTGTCACCTAGGTTGGAGTACAGTGACACAATTACTTGAGCTCACTGCAGCCTCAAACTCCAGGGCTCAAGTGATCCTCTCACCTTAGACTCCTGAGTAGATGGGACTGTAGCTAACTAAAACAGCAACAACAACAACAAATCAACAACAACAAAACAAACAAGCAAACAAAAAACACTTTTTGTAGAGATGAGGTCTCATTATGTTGCCCTGGCTGATTTCGAACTCCTGAGTTCAAGCAATCATTTCACAACAGTCTCCCAAAGTGCTGAGATTAGAGGCATTAGTCACCTCACCTGGCCTTACAATGGATGAATTTTATGACGTGTAAATTAAATCTCAATAAAAGTGTTAATAAAAATATGTCAAAAGAGAATCCTATCTATGCTTGAGGACAAATGAAACATACTTCTCATGGACAGATAGTATCATTACATAATATTATTTTAATTATTTTTTAGAGAAAAATTAAGAGATATCATAAAGATAATCCAGACTAATTCTCTTTAGCAGATGAGGAAACTAAAGCCCAATTAAATACTTTGCATGAAAGTCTCATGAGAAGTCGCATGAAAAGCTAGGAGTTGCATCCACATTTCCTGAGTACTAGCCTGGTATTTGTCGCATTATGCCATACTCTTTCATTACAGTGTGTTTATACTGCTCTGACCTAAATTGACTAGAATTCCAATAAAATAAAAATCATTTACTTAATTATAATGCATGAATTGTAATAATCAACATTTATAAATGTAGGAGATTATTATTGTTGTTGATGAATTTTCCTTGTGATGATGATGCAGGAGACTGTTTAGGTGGAGGCATTAAAAATAAATCTATTGTTTCAAATACTTGGCCAAATGTTTTGAAGACTCTAGACTTGAAATGCAGTAAACTGAAAATCAAGTACAAAATGCATCAAATTTACAAAGGCTATTATTAGAAGATTCAGCATATAAAGTACCTTGAGAGCTTCCTTCAGACAAACAGATGGATACTTCATCATTTCTGTCATTATCCTCTCCTACTTCAGGCCCAGCTTCCTCTCCTGGTGTGAGTGCAGATAAAGAACCAGACTCAGGCTGCTCAGAGAAATCAGCAGGGCCTCCTCTTGGAGGTGGAACTTCAATCCCCATTAAACGATATTTCCTTCTTCGATTCCCAATCCAAGTCTTTATAAGAGAAATATAGGAGGAATTTTTGTAAACATAGAAAACTTAGCAGTTCTAGCCAGTAAAATAATGAATGAATGCTGCATAAAATATGATTTAAAGGAATAAATGGGTACACAGAAAGGTAAAAACTTTTATGTCAATACGCTAAAATAAAAATAATTGTGTTTTATATTTTTATAACTTATTTTATTTATAACTGACAAATAATAATTGTACCTGGTTATGGGGTACAGTTTGACAGTGTGAGGTTTCAATACATGTACAGATTTTATAATGATCGAATCATGATGGTTAGCATGTCAATCACCTCAAAATGTTAATAGTTATGGCTTTAACTTTAAAATATTTATTAGCAGAAAGAAGGTATTTATATAAATATTCAGACTTTTTAGCAACATGTAGTCTACTGAGGATGACTTTTTTCTGTTTTTGTTTTGTTTCTCGAGAAAACGATTCACCAAATCTTTTAAAAGAAAAATAAACTGGTTCTTTTTCAAACAGAACCATCATATAGCTATAACTCTAATTCATATCCTATTTCCAATCTTGCTCTTCCTATGCAAAAATGTGCCCTCTGTTAATTTTGTTTGGCTCCATATTATTACCTTGGCATTTCAAGCACTGTAAAATTTCATTTTACTGAATTTACAACCAATTTTCAAGACATTTTGTAATGAAATCATTTTAGAGTAATGGGAAGTTTCAAAGATAAGTCTTGTTTATTCTTCACTCCGTCTTCTCCAACTTCCATCTTACATAATTATAGCAAAATATCAAAAACAGGAAATTGATACTGTACAATATGTGTGTATAGTTCTATGTCCCTTTATCACACCATTCCTCTTCCTCTCCTTCCCACTATCCCTAATCTGTTTTCTGTCTCCATAACTGTGCTTTTTCAAGAATATTATATAAATGGAATCATGCAGCATGTGACCTTTTGAAATCAACTTTTTCAATTCAGCATCATTCCCTGGAGATTCATTCAAGTTGTGTGTATCGAGCCCATTCGTTTTTATTGCTAAGCAGTATTCCATGATATATATTTACCCATGTTCGTTTAACCATTTACCTGCTGAAGGACACTTGCATTGTTTCAGATGTTTTGCTTATTACATATAAAGCCATTGTGAACAGTAATTTACAGGTTTTGTGTAGACATAGTTTCTATTTTTCTAGGATAAATGCACAAGGATGCAAATTATGGATCATATGGTTATATGTTAAGTTTTATAAGAATCTGTCAAATTGTTTTCCAGAGAAACTGGGCCATTTTACATTCTTATCAGCAATGCATGAGAGATCCAGTTTCTTAGCATTCTTGCTAGCATTTAGTATTGTCAGTATTTTCTAAAAACTTTTAGCTGTTCTCATAGGTGTGTGTAGTAACAGCTCAACAAGTTCTTAATGTTGGCCATCTTTCCATGTGCTTATTTATCATCCCTATATTTGCCATCCTTTTCAATGAAATGTCTCTTCATTTTCTAATTGAAGTTCTTGTTTCATTTTCATGTTGAGTTTTGAGAAGTTCTTTATATATTCTAAATATGAATTCTATGTAATATATGTGGTTTGCAAATATTTTCTCCCAGTCTGTAGCTTGAATTTTTATCCTATTAGTCTTTTGCAGCACAAACTTAACACTGCTCAAAAAAAGGATATTAATTTAAAATAATAAAAAATGGGTTCACTGAAAAGATTGGTAAACTTGACAAACATCTAATTGTTAAACACAGTTTAACATGGCCCTGGTGGCTAGTGAGCACCTGTAGTTGCATATATTCGGGAGGCTGAGGTGGGAGGATTTCTTGAACCCAGGAGTTCAAGGCTGCAGTGAGCTATGATCACATTACATTAAACATTGTTTAACATAATTTTTATCAAATTCCAGCAAGATTTTTGTAGATACATATGAGATAATTCTAAAATTCACATGGAAAGAAAATGAGTGAGTATGGCTAAAACAGTATCGAATAAAAAAGAATAAGGTGGAAAGAATGTATCTACCTAATTTCAAGACTTTTTATATACTTACTGTAATCAAGAGTGTGTGGTATTGGCAGAGGGCTAGCCACAGATCACTGAAACAGAATAGAGAACCCAGAAATGGTCTTACACAAGTATGACCAGCTTAGCTGACTTTTGACAAAGGTGCAAAAAGAATTTAATAGGGGAAGTGCAGTTTTTTCAAGAAACAATGCTGGAGCAATTGGATATTCATAGGAAAACAAAAATGGACCTTGTTCTAAATCTCACACCTTATACAAAAATGAACTCAAAATGCATCATAGATTTAAATATAAAAAATAAAACTTTAAAACTTTTAGAAGAAGGCATAGAGGAGAATCTTTGGGGCTTCAGGATTAGTGAAGAATTCTTAGAAATGGTAATAAAAAGCACAATCCATAGAAGAAAAGTAACTTCTGGGTTTTGATTGGAATTGAATTGAATCTATAGATCAATTGGAAAGAACTGAAATCTTGATATAATTGAGTTGTTCTATCCATCTCCATGGAATATCTCTCCATTTATTTAGATCTTTGATTTCTTTTATCAGAGTTTTGTAGTTTTCTTCATGCAGACCTTGTGCCTATTTCACTAAATTTATACCTAAGTGTTTAATTTTGGGGAAGCTAAAGTAAATGTTTTTTTTTCTGTTTCATTGATTTTTGCTCATACCTTAGTTATTTCCTTCCTTCTATTTGCTTTGTGTTTATTTTGTCGTCTTTTTCTAGTTTCTATTTTTTTCACTATCTTCTTTTTTTAGAGACAGGATCTCACTCTGTCACAGTAATGTGATCATAGTTCACTGTAGCCTTGAACTCCTGGGCTCAAGCAATTCTCCCACCTCAGCCTCCTGAGTAGCTAGAACTAAAAGTGCTCACCAGCCACCATGTCCAGCTTTTGTCTAGTTTCTTAAGGTGGGAGTTTAGATTATTTATTTGAGAGCTTCCTGTTTTCTAATGTATACATTAGGATAAATTTTGCTCTCAGCACTACTTATCTGCATCCCACAAATTTGGTATTTTGTTCCTTTTGTACTGTTCAATGTACTTTTACCTTCAATATTATTTCTCTAATGCTCTTCCTTTATGTAGCTCTGCATTTCTGACCTATATGATTTCCCTTGTATCTGAAGGACTTTTCAACATTTCTTGAAAGGCAGTTCTACTGGCAACAAATTCCTTCAATTTTTGTCTGAAAAAGTCTATTTCTCCTTCACATTTGAAGGATAATTTCACTGAGTACAGAATTCTGGGTTGGTATTGTTTGTTTTTTCCTCTCAACACTTTAAATATTTCATTCTACTGCCTTCTTGCTTGCATAGTTTCTGAGGAAAAGTCAGATTTAATTCTTATTTTTGCTCCTCTGTAATTAAGGTATTTGTTTTCCCCCTCTGGCTTCTTTCAAGTCTTTTTCTTTATCAATGATTTTTACAGTTTGAGTATGATATGCCTAGGTGTAGTTTTTTTTATTGTTTGTTTTGCATTTATCCTGCTTGGTGTACGCCAAGCATTGTGGATCTGTGGTTTGATATGTTACATTAATTTAGGGAAAATTCTCAGTTATTATGGTTTTGAATATTTCTTCTGTTCTATTTTCCCTTTTTTTCTCTTTCTGGTGGTATTCCCATTAGACATATGTTACACCTGTTATATTTGTCCCACAGTTGTTGTATATTATGTTCCATTTTTAATCAATATTTTTGTTTTATGCTCTCCAGTTTTGGAAGTTTCTATTGATATATCATCAAGTTCAGAAATTATTTCCACAGCCATGTCCAGTCTGCTAATGAGACCATCAAAAGCTTTCTTCATTTCAGTTACTGTTTTTGGTCTCTAGCATTTGTTTTTTATCCTTTCTTAGAATGTTCATGCCTCTGCTTACATTACCATTCTGTTCTTGTATGTTGTCTACTTTTTCCATTAGTGCCCTTAGCATGTTAATCATAGTTCTTCCCAATTCCTCGTCTGACGATTCTAACATCCCTGTCATGTATGAATGTAGTTCTGATGCTTGCTCTGTCTCTTCAAATTCTTTCTTTGTTTTGTTGTTTTGCTTTTGTTTGTTTGTTTTTTGCCTTTTGTTATGCCTTGTCATTTTTATTAAAAGTTGAACGTGATGTACTGGGTTAAAAGAACTAAAAGAACTAGGCATTTGGCGATGTAGTGTTCAGGTTAGGAGGAAGTTAAAGCATCCTATAGTCCTATGATGAGATCTCAGTCTTTTAGTGAATCTTTGCCGTGGCCTGTGAACTTTTGAAGTGCTTATCAGTTTTTCCTCTACCTTAGGTGGGACAAGATGGCTAAAGGGGGCTGTATTTGGTTATTATTGTTGTTTACTTTTGCCCTAGGATAGTTAGGTCATGATAAAATCCCAATAGGTTAGGCTCTGGTAAAATATTTGCTCTTAAAAGCAGGCTTTCTTAACAGAACGTTCTAATGTTTCTTAAAAATTGTTACTTTTCCATTCTTCCTGTCAAGAGCATGAGGGAGTTTTTCTCCAATATTCACAGTGAGAATCTGATACAGCCTCTGGGAGTAAAACTCACAAAAGTGTCACCCCCTCCATGATTGTACACCCTGGAATTCCTAACTTTCAGACTTGTCTACACTGAGCCTCCAGCAATTCATCAGTTACAGTTTAGGTTTTCCTGCCTTGGTAATGGTTCCCATGGAGGTTTCTGCTCATGGAATTCTGCTCCAGTAAGTTGTGATTCTCTGTATCTGCCTATTTGTCTCACCAATTTTGGGGTCAGTGGTTTGCCCTGTACCTTCACTTATCTGTCATATCTAAGAAGAATTGTTGATTTTCAGTTTGTTCAACGTTTTATTTGTTAAGATGAACTGACAACTTCTAGGCTCCTCACATGCCAGACCAGAAACTAGAAGTCCAATTTCATTTTATTCCCTTATGACTTATTTAAAAATTATATATATATATGTGTGTGTGTGTGTGTGTGTGTGTGTGTGTGTGTGTGTGTGTGTGTATGGTTAGGGTTAGGCATTAAGGGAGTTAGGAGCTAGGGTTAGGGTTGTTACATATATGTATAAATGTGTGTGTGTATATATATATATACACACATACATAAGCATATAGATGTATATATATGTGTATATATGTACATCTATATGTTTATGTGTGTGTGTATATATATATATATATATATAAACAACCCTAACCCCTAACCCCCTTAACCCTTGACCTTAACCCTAGCCCTGTGTGTGTGTGTGTGTGTGTGTGCACACACACCATAGAATACTACTCAGTCTTAAAAAAAGAATAAAATCATGTCTTTTGTAGTAACATAAATGGAACTACAGGCCATTATTCTAAGTGAAATAACTCAAACAGAAAGTCAAATAACACATGATATCACTTGTAAGTGGGTGCTAAACAGTGGGTATTCATGGCAATAGAGAGTGGAATAATAGACAATGAAAACTCTAAAACATGGGAGGGTAGAAGAGGGGTGAGGGTTGAAAAATCACCTGTTGGGTACAATGTTCACTATTCGAGTGACAGGTACACTCAAAGCCCAGACTTCACCACCACACAATATATGTGTGTAACAAAACTGCACTTATACCCCAAAACCTATAAAAACTGAAAAAAGACTCCCTCTTTGACCCACGGATTATTTAGAAATGTCTTGCATAACCTCTAAGTGTATGGAAATTTTTCTGATATCTTTCTGTTATTGATTTCTACTTTGATGCAATAGTGGTCAGGAACATATTCTGTATGATTTAGATTTTTAAAATTTATTGAGGTTTGTCTTGTGGTCCAGGATTTACTCTTTTTGTGTATTCCATGAGCACTTGAAAAGTGTGTATTTTATTTTTGTTGGGTTGTGCATTCTACTAGTCAATTACACCCTATGGATTGAGGGTGTTTTGGGGTTCTATATTACTAATATTCTTCTATGTAATAACTGTAGCAGCTGTTGAGAGAAGGCTGATGAAATCTCCAAATATAATTTTGGATTTGCTTATTCTTCTTTTGAGAATTTTTAGTTGTTGCTTCACATATTTTGTAGTTCTGTGATATCTGATGTATACACATTCAGAATTGCAATGTCTCCTTGATAAAATTTACCCTGTTATTATTATACAGTGTCCCACTTTGTCCCCTGTAATTTCCTTTGCTCTGAAGTTTACTTTATCCGATATTATTGTATCAACTCCTGCTTTATTTTGATTCATGTTTGCATTCTATATGTTTTCTATCTTTTTACTTTCAAACTACACATATCATGATATTTTAATTTATTGTAGACAACATCAAGTTAGGTCATTTTTAAAAATCCAATTTGCAAATTTCTGTATTTTAGTTTGTGAATTTAGACCATTTAAATTTAATGCAATTATTTCTATGTTAAAGCGTCAATATGTCATTTCATTTTCTGCCTTCATTTCTTTTAGTGTATTTTGTTGTATTTTTCCCCTGCATTCCTGTGGGGTATTTTTAAATATTTAGAATTCCATTTATATTTATGTATAGAACTTTTCTGTATCCCTTTGTATGACTTTTTAGTGATTGATCCAGGCTATCTATCTATCTATCTATCTATCTATCTATCTATCTATCTATCATCTATCTATCTTATGACAGTCACAAGAGGGTAAATTCCAGGTTGTCCACTGGACTTCCATTGACATCCAGTGGGGAAAGAGACTTCTTTTACTCCTGGGTGGAGTTGGGAGCCCAGGAGCTCCAGTAGGCATCTTCTGATACCACCCCAATGAGGAGGAGGAAGGGCTCATCATCACCTCTAAGTGCAGGAGGGGATAAAAGTCTTCTAGTGACATTGCAAGGGAATGGTGGAGGAAGGATTTTTATTCCAGCTCTCCACTCTTTCTTATCTGACACCATCCCATCAGTGAGTGTTTTTTGTTTGTTGGTTTGTTTTGTTTTGTTTTGCTTTGCGGAGGTGGGGGCATCTAGCTGTTCCACAGCCTGGTGAGGCAGAAGTCTTGGTCCTCCATTTGGCCTTTTCTTGTAGGGGTGGGTGTGGCTGCAGTTTTTCCCCGTGGTATTTGGCTGGAGTAAAGAAGTCATTATCTAAACATTTTCTGTCATGTTAGACTGCCCTTTTCCTGGTTCTTGGCTGAGAGAGGCCAGGCTTTTCTTTTTCTTTCCTTTTTCCATTTGTTTGCACCTATTGGTGTTTCTTGATTGTTGGCTTTTCCAGTATCTATTCTGGGGTATATGAAGCAAAAGAAAACCCAGGAAACTCACCATTGTGTGAGTGTCATTCATGGGGTCCCATGGTCCCTAGCAGATGTGACTTCTTTCCACCCTTCAGAGTCTTCTTATGTTTGCTATTTATATAATGTCCAGGGATATTAGTTCTACTTAATGAGAAGAATAGGGAAAATTATGTCCACTCCATTTTCTCAGAAGCAACAGTCTGAAACCAGTTTTATTCCCACGTTTCTTACGCAATTTTCAGAAAGACCACTTTATATGACTCGAATTTGTAACCTTTCTAGTTTTGCCATGTCAAGAAGGATTCTTAAAACCTAAAGTAGTGTAGAAAACCACTAAATAACAGTTTAGACTTTCAGCTGTAAATTTGATTATGATGCCTTTTATACCAACTAGAATTTCTTCTATACAATAGGGCTACATAAATACAAAGCCACCTTAGATACTCTTTGTGTAAATAAAAAACATGAATGAAGTTAAATTTTATACTTGGTTAGATTTCAAAAAATATGCAGGGCAAAACAGAAGAACTATTTAGTTAGTCCAAAAAGACGAATTCTTCTTTATATTTGATGGGGGGAATTTTCCCTTCAAGTTTATGAAATGTAGTTCCTTGGATGTGTTTAGCATTGACACTAAATGTGAAGTTTGAAACACATGAATTACTTTGTACACACCAAAGAGAAAATTGCCTAGTATGAAATAAAAATCTGTATGGATACTAATTTTCTTAGCTTTGATAATTTCTTTCATAGGAGAAATACTAGTTTAAAAAGGAGAATTCCATTTATTTTTTCCTTTTAACACTTTTTTATTTTTAATTTTTGTAGGTATATATTAGGTGTATATATTTACGAGGCACATGAGACATTTTGGTACAGGCATGCAAAGCATAATAATCACATCATGGAACACTGGGTATTCATCCCCTCAAGCATTTATCCTTTGTGTTACAAACAGTCCAATTATACTTTTAGTGATTTTATAATGTACAATTAAATTATTATTGACTCTAGCACCCAATTTCTCATTACATCCATCATAACGTTGAAAATGGATTGCTATAATTCAGAAAAGATAAAGAATGGCAATTTCTTACTAAAGCTTCTTAAAATTGTCATGTAATCTCTCTATTTTCTACTCATGAACACAACAAATTGTAAATGCAGAAGCTTTTCTTTTACAATAATCTTAGCCACCAATAGTTGTGAAAATGATGGTATGAGCAGAAGGAGGAAAAGACCAGTCTCCCTAGGATGATTTTTGCTCCATTTGGGTCATAAAAGCTGGGGAAGAGTGAAGAAAAAAAAAGCAGAAACGAAGTTTCTATTTATCTTCCACTTCTTTTGCACCCTTTTTGAGAGAAATGAGTGATTATAAAATGTACAATGATAAAGGTAAAACAATATGTTATGTGAATATTGGAAGTATGTGATATTTTATTGTAAATTAAAGCTAAAATATTTCCTCTTTGGATATTCCTCAAAACTAGAAGGCACTAGAAAAATGATTCAATGTATAAATACAATGCTAATGGGTTTAGTACATTTTTACAGAATCATGGATAACTGAGTTAATCCTGGAGTCTGCTCTGGCCTGAATATTTGTCTCCCCTACTCCAAATTAACGTGTTAAAATCCTAACCCCCAAGGTACTAGTGTTAAAAGGTGGGACCTTTTGGAGGTAAATAGGTAATGAGAATGGGTCTCTCATAAATGTAGTGCTTTTATAAAGGAGACCCCAGGGAGACTCCTTGCCCCTTCTGCCATGAGAGGTTACAGCAAAAAGATAGCTGTCTAGGAAGTGGGCTTTCCATACTTCTGACCTTCCAGCACCTTGGTCTTTGATTCCTCAGCCTCCAGAACAATTAAGAATAAATTTCTGTTGTTTATAAGACAACCAATCTATAATATTGTATTATAGCAGGCTGTGATAGTTAATTTTATGTGTCAATATAACTGAGCTAAATGTTTCCCAGATAGCTGGCAAAACATTATTTCTAGGTGTGTCCCTGAGATTGTTACTGGCAGAGATTAGAATTTGAGTATATAGACTGTTAAGAAGATCACTTTTACTAATGTGAGTGGGTATCATACAATCTGTTGAGCGTCTGAAGTTTCCATCCTCTTTTTGCATGAAAATATCAGGGATATAAAACATACCACTCTGAAAGGTTCCCAGTTGGTTTTGTAAGTGTTTTCATAATGCTCTTCCTTAAACTGAACCAATATCTATGGTTTTATTTCATTGAGGTATTGTTTCCAGTTCTTTGCTTCAGATCTTCTTCACCCTGAACTCTCCCTTCTACATTCCAGCTATCAATTATGTGAATGGTATTTTTTTCACTGTTTCAGATTAGAAACCCCTACTTTAAAATATTTAGGTTTTTCAACCATTTTATATGATCAATGGACAAGTTATTTTATCACTCTAAGCCTCAGATTATTTATGTGCAAAATTAGGAAAATAATTTCCAAATTCTTTACTTTCCTGAATAATAAATTTCCCACCAGAATGGTCACAAATCTAAAAATAGTAGTGAATCTTTTCAACCAGAACACCTATGTATTAACACCACAAACATAATGGCTATTAAAAATGAGTACTCTAAAGCCCTGTACATTTCTAAGTATCTTTCTATTAAACAATATGAAGCTATATTCCAAACTTTTATTTTAAATGTAGTTATTTAAATGTAGTATTTGTTAGTTCATGTATGCTATATATAGAGGGTACACTTTTCTGTTAGATATTCATTCATTCATTCCACATATATTACTGAAAATTTACTATGTACCAAACACTGTTTCTGGTGCTTGGGATGGTGAATATAATAGGTGAATATAATAGGTATAGTCTTTTCCTCAGGGAACTTAAATGTATAAATATAGATGATAAACAACAGAAATGCATATGTACAGGTGATAAGCAAATAGAAAAACAAATATAAATTATAAAATTTGACCAAGTGTTATGGATAAAAAGAACACGCTAGAATATTTAGCTGCAATCATCACATAGTGTTGTAAAGTTTTTTCCAAATTTACCTGATCTTAAGAATAATTTGGGGAAGGGAAACATAAAGATTCTCTGGGCCTTTCTTGCAAATTCTGTTTCGGTAGGTCTAGAATAGGGTGATCTATATTTTTAAGAAGTATCCAAGTTATTTCTTATGGTAAGGCATACACTAGTAAGGTGGAACTGGGAATAATGTTAGATTGGGAATAAAGAGACATATATATATATACACACACACACATATATATATATATATATATATATATATATATATATATATATACACATACATACACACACGCACACACACACACATATATAGGCATTGAACTCAACCCCAAGGTGCCCCCCCAGCTCTAAATCAATGTGTGTAATAGATAATAGGGAGTTTGCCATATACTGTATAAACATTGTTCCATTTCAAGGCATTTCAAATCTAGCCATGCTCCTTTGAAAATAAATATAATCTAAAATATAAAAACATAAAGTTGTTTTCTATGAACTTTATTTAAGTCCCGCAAAATGTATCTCAATCATAAAATATGTTGATTCTATCAATATTTGACCATGCAAGGGTACACTTTAATGTATGTCCACTATAACCATAACACAGATGGAAAGGACAGGCATTAAACTGAATTGTAGCAAGATGGAGCAGTGGGGAACTAATTGTCCTCGAGGACTTAACAGTGCTTCCAACTTATTGTCCACATGTAATATCTCAAAATATTTCTCCAATGTATTATCCTCATTTAGGAATAATTGATCACACTAAATTTCAAGTTCCTTGAGAGAGTTGCATTTTTCCAATGGCACTTAGAAAAGTTCTGGCACATACATAAAAAATGATGAGTTCAGGTCCTTTATAGGGACATGGATGAAGCTGGAAACCATCATTCTCAGCAAACTATCGCAGGGACAAAAAACCAAACACCGCATGTTCTCACTCATAGGTGGGAATTGAACAATGAGAAGACTTGGACACAGGAAGGGGAATATCACACACCAGGGCCTGTCGTGGGGTGGGAGGAGGGGGGAGGGATAGCATTAGGAGATATACCTAATGTAAATGACGAGTTAATGAGTGCAGCACACCAACATGGCACAAGTATACGCACGTAACAAACCTGCACATTGTGCACAGGTACCCTAGAACTTAAAGTATAATAAAAATAATAATACTAAAGGAATGTAGCAGGACAAAAAAAAAAAAAGTTCTGGCACCTAATAGGTGTCCAGTTTACCTTTGCTAAATGAGTAAGTCGGTAAATAGGCACTAACCTGTAAATGGCATTTCAAGATGAAGAAAAACATGCACATAATTAACAATCATTGACAAGGTCAAAGAAAAAGTATACCAAGTTTGCTTCCTATACTTCTTAGAAGTACAAGACATTAAAAAAAAATCTGAAACTTTCAAATTATACCGTAAGTAATGGTTAACTAGACATCCTAAGGTGAAGTTCATTTTGGTGATTAGTAATTAGAATGTATATTAGACTTAAAAACATATAAATAGTTTTTCCTGAAATCTCAAGAATATATTTATGTTGCAAACATATTCTCCCTTAGAGTAATTTACCATATGTTACAGAAGAGGTCCTCTTAAAACATATCACCTCCAAATTTTCTCTCTGCCATGAGCATTCTAGTATGTTGGAAAATCATGAGAAACAAAAGGATAGTAAACAGTTCCTTATTCTTTCATCTAATATGAGTCTGAACAAATATTAAGCAAGAAGAAAATGGTAAAATTCTTCCTCCTTTTTCACAGATTACGATCTTTGTGTAGGAATAAGAAACTCTGTATATAGTAATGCCAAAGGGGGAACTGATGTTAATAGTTTTGGCCATTTTTCACAGTAAGTGTGCCTAAAATCTCTTGATATCAGAGAGAACACTAGCCAGGAATCCTGTGGATATCTTTTTTTTTTTTTTTTTTTTTTTTTTGAGATGGAGTCTTGCTCTGTCGCCCAGGCTGGAGTGCAGTGGCGCGATCTCGCCTCACTGCAAGCTCCGCCTCCCAGGTTCACGCCATTCTCCTGCCTCAGCTTCCCGAGTAGCTGGGACTATAGGCGCCCGCCACCACGCCTGGCTAATTTTTTGTATTTTTAGTAGAGACGGGGTTTCACCATGTTAGCTAGGATGGTCTCGATCTCCTGACCTGTGATCCGCCCACCTCGGCCTCCCAAAGTGCTGGGATTACAGGCGTGAGCCACCGCGCCCGGCCCTCCTGTGGATATCTTATCTTTATTTTGGGAGTGTATGTTTTTAAAGAGATTCTGTCCGTGTCTCCTCTCTTGCAGTATGGCTGTCTCAAGGAGGCTCTATGGCTGTCCATAGAACCTGAACACTGTTGTCATGGCACAAGGTACTTATTAGTACCAGAGGCATGATGAAGTTTTTTAAAAAATGAAAAACTCAGTAGAGAAATTGGAGAATAAATTAAGGGATATCTTGCTGAAAGTAGAGCAAAAGGAAAAACAGATTGGAAGTGGAAATCTTAGAGTCCAGGTGCATAAAATAACCAATTCAGTTGGAGCAGATCAGAAAAATGCCAGGAGCTATTTCTCTAAGATGATGGAATTATTATATTACCAATGAGTATGAATGTGTTGAAAGGAGACTTAGGCAACTGGGAAAGGGTTTAAAGATAAATTAGTAGTGAGTACCTAGAAAATAACTCAAGCAAACATATGAATATCAAAAGCATAAATTAAGTAAATTATGAACTACAGGGAAATAAAACAATGCTAAGTTATGCAGAAAAGGAAAAAATGATATTTCACTACATAATTCAAATGTGTAAAGCATTTACATAGTCATAATAATGAATACCAAGCTGACCAAAGTTATAGGAGGATAAGGAGAGAGGAATTATGCATGTAAGTGAACAGATCAATGAGGAAATCTTAAAGAGATTTTTTTTTAAGCTTTGCATTTCACAGTGAAAAATCAATAGACTATGCCCAACATTGAACAAATCAGGAAGTTGCAATGTAAACATATAAGAGAGACTGCTGTCTATTCCCCATATTTGTCCTCACCTTCCAGAATAATAGAAGATTTAGCTGGGCACATGGTTGCTCACAGTAAAATTACATTTGCAGCTTCTCTTGTAGTTTGGTATGACCATGTGACTAATCTTTAGCCAATGGGATATAAGTGAACAGATCTCATGGCAGTTTCCAGAAATCCTTGTTAAAAGACAGCTGGTGAACAGCCTTTGCCCCTTATTCTTCTCCCTCTCTGTCATGCTGCCTTGAGTATGTATGCTATCATTTTGGGCCTTGATAAAAAGGGCCACATCACAGGGACAGCGGAATGGAAACTGGAAGGCATCAGGGTTTTTGTGGATATTGTAGAGCCAAACTGCCATGCTAGCTGTAAATTGCATATACATGGACTTATACATGGAATTGAAATATCTTGTCTAAGCCATTGTTACTTTTGGGTCTTTTTAATACTTACAGCTAAACCTAATTCTAATTAATACAACACATCATTCATAGATGAAAGTAAATACTGAAGGAAATAACTAAAAGTGGAAAGTGGTTCAACTCGGGCTATTGCAAAATGGTAGGAAGGAAGGAGTGAGGAATGTTGGTGTTGTAGCAAATTCTACAGAACTTGACTTCCTAAGCTATATACGTATATAACTTTGATTTAAAAAAAATAAAAATGACAATGACAACAAGAACACATGCTCTACATTTCCCTATTTTTGGCTGTTGCTTAAGCTCCTCATACTATGACTCTACTCCAATTCCTCTTCAGTCATTTTTTTTCTTGTGTCATCCCTCTTGCTAGACTCTGAGCTCCTTAAAATAGAAATAATGTCTAATGCACTTCTCTCTCCTTGTTAGTATACTTTAACACATAGCAGCATGCTCAACAAACACAGTATTGAATTTGATTTTCCATCTGGATTCTAACAAGAAAAAGCAAGACTCTGAACAGGGCAGTACTTATTTTGAGAATAGTATTTATTTTCAGAAATCTCTACTCAAAAATTCTCTCTATATTGCTCTTTTCTTCATATATATATGAGATAAGAGCTGGAGTCTCATTAGGTTGTCCTGGCTGCACTTGAACTCTTGGGCTCAAGTGATCCTTCCACCTCAGCCTTCTGAGTGGCTGGGACTACAGGTATGTACTACCAAGCCTGGCTCTTTGTCACTTCTTTAATATACTTCCCTCTTGATCTACTGAGATGATCCTCCAGTGTGTGTACTGGTGTCAACCTACACTTGCTCACAAGCGTCAACTGTTAGCATCTCTTCCCAACTCTGTGTTGAGTGAGACATGGAATCAGCTGTGGTAGGAATCTTTACACCACGGAAATCAGCAAATACTATTAATTAAGGCTTTTTTTTTCCTTAAAGAATTGATTGCTAAGTACTTACCAGCACTACCACTTTCAAAATTTTATCTTTTAAATGGAACATAAACTACTGTTCCAATGATTGATCAGTATAATTTTTAAAATTTTATTTTATTTTATTTTATTTTAAGTTCTAGGATACATGTGCAGGACCTGCAGGTTTGTTACAAAGGTAAATGTGTGCCGTGGAAGGGGTTTGCTGCACTTATCAACCCATGAACTAGATATTAAGCCTTGTATACATTAGCTTTTTTCCTGTTGCTCTCCCTTCCCCCACCCCCCAACAGGCCCCAGTGTGTGTTGTTCCCCTCCTTGTGTCCATGTGTTCTCATTGTTCAGCTCCTACTTATAAGTGAGAACATGTGGGGTTTGGTTTTCTGTTCCTATGTTAGTTTGCTGAGGATAATGGCTTCCAACTTCATCCATGGCCCTGCAAAGGACATGATCTCATTCCTTTTTATAGCTGCATAGTATTCCATGTTGTATATGTATCACATTTTCTTTATCCAGTCTATCACTGATGGACATGTGGGTTGCTTCCATGTCCTTGCTATTGTGAATACTGCTGCAATGAACATACGTGTGCATGTATCTTTATAATAGGATGATTTATAATCCTTTGGGTACATGCCCAGTAATGGGATTGCTGGGTCAAACGGTATTTCCGGTTTTAAGTCTTTGAGGAATCACCACACTGTTTTTCACAATGGTTGGATTAAAGACTTAAATGTAAAACCCAAAACTATAAAAACCTTAGAAGAAAATCAAGGCAATACCATTCAGGACATAGGCATGGGCAAAAGATTTTATGACAAAAACATCAAAAGTAATTGCAACAAAAGCAAAAATTGACAAATGGGATCTAATTAAACAAAAGAGTTTCTGCACAGCAAAAGAAACTATAATCAGAGTGAATAGAAAACTTACAGAAAGAGAAATTTTTTACAATATACCCATCTGACTAAGGTCTAATATACACAGTCTACGAGGAACTTAAACAATTTTACAAGTAAAAAACAAACAACCCCATTAAAAAGTGGGCAAAGGACATGAACAGAGAGTTCTCAAAAGAAGAAATTTATGCAGCCAACAAACATGAGAAAAAGCTCAACATCACTAATCTTTAGAGAAATGCAAATTAAAACCACAATGAAATACCATCTCACGCCAATCAGAATGGCAATTATTAAAAAGTCAAGAAACAACAGATGCTGGCAAGGCTGTGGAGAAATAGGAACACTTTTACACTGTAGGTGGGAATGTAAAATAAATTTTTATCTATCATTCATTATATGAGATATATTTCAATTCACCTCATGTAATTTTTAAACAATGTTATTGAGATATATTTAAAACACCACACAATTCATTTATTTAATATGTACAATTAAAATGTTTTCAACATATTCACAGTGCTGTGCACCAGTCACCACTAACTAATCTAGAACATTTTCATCATGCCAAAAATAAATCCCATGCATATTAACAGTCAGGTCCCATCCCTCCCCTCCCTCAGCTCTTGGCACCACTAACCTATTTTCTGTCTCTAGAGTGTGCCTAATGAGGACACTTCATATAAATGAAATAATATAATATGTGGTCTTTTGCAATGGGTTTCTTTCATTTAGCATAATGTTTTTAAGGTTCATCCGTTTTATAGCACATATGAATATTTCATTCCTTTATATGGCTCTATAATAGTCCATTATATGCATATATCCAGATGTTGTCTATACATTCACTTGGTGGATGTTTGGGTTGTTTCCATTTGGATATTATGGAAAACTCTGTTATGAATATCAGTGTGCAACTTTTTGAGTTGGATATACATTTTTTATTCTTTTGAGTAGATTGAAATCCATTCCAGCAGTGGAATTTTTGGTCATATGATAACTCTGTGTTAAACTTTTTGAGGACTGTTGTCAAAGTTGCTAAAATATTTTACATTCTTACCAGCAACGTATCAGGGCTACAATTTCTCCATATCCTGGCCAAAACTCATTATTATATACCTTTTATGTTAATATTGTTACAGTGGATAAATGGCAACTTGTGGTTTTTATTTTCATTTCCATAATGACTAATGATGTTGAACATAATTTCAGGTAAATATTGGCAATATGTATATCTTTTTAAAACAAATATCTATTCATTTCCTTTGCCTATTTTTAAAATTGGGTTATTTGCAATTTTATTATTGACTTGTAAGTGTTCTTTACATCCTTTGATACATATTCCTTATCAGATATATGATTTCAAAATATCTCCTATCCTGTGGGTTATCTTTTCACTTTATTGCTAGCATTGCTTGGAGCACCTCATGTAAGATTTTAAAGCTTTCATTTATGCCATTCAGCAACTATAGCATGAAAATTATAGAAAATGTCTTACCCGAACTATTTCACAGTCAACATTTAATTCAGTTGCCACAGCTTCAATTTTCTCTCTACAAACAGAGCCCAGGCTGGTCATGCCATTGTCCCAATACTTCTTAAGGGTGGCTAAGTCTCGGTCACTGAACTGAGTGCGGTCCTGTAGCTGAAAAACACATTTTTAAATTGTTTTGAATTTTAAAGTTTAGAATAATCAAAGGAAATAATATTATAAAGAGAAGCATCAGGGTGAGATGTGCTACGATACTAGCAAAATTTATTTCACAATTCTTATTCAGTCCTCCCGTTCTGAAAATAAGCATTTTTATTTTTTAAATTTCCATAACAATACAGTGTGTTAGGAGGAAATGCATAGAATTTTTGAACTGATAGCAATTAAGCAATGTTGATTTAAAATAGTTTTAAAATAATACATGTTCATTGTATAAAATACAGGTAAAAAATAAGATAATTTAAATCACTTACATATTAGAAATAATGCTTGTTAACATTTTAATGTATACTCTTTTAAACTTTTTTCTATAGTACAGATATTTACATTCACATACCAAACACAGAAAAAGCAAAGACAGGCTTATATTAGTGTGTTGCCTTTTGATAAGTTAATCTAGATTTGCCATACAAATCTAGATATTAGTTTCCTATTGATATTATAATGAATTAAAAAGGTAAATAAGAGAAAAGTAAGGAGATCACGTAGCCCTAAAATCATATTTATGGCCTCGTCAAGTTTCATAATAAGCCTACCCTTTTTGTTCTTAGGTTTTCTTTATCCAATAAACTATCGGATTTACATGTTGTTTTATTTCAATGAATCCTCAGTATCCCTAGGAAGTAAGTTAGAAACATGATAGAATAATGACCTCTACTTTGCTGATAAGGCATCAGGAAAAGCTAGGTCAAAGGACTCATTCAACAGGGCACAGAGAGTCCATGGCAGAGCTATAAATAGAAATATCTGAGTTTTTCTAGTTGTTTTTTTTTCCAGTGATGCCTCAAATTATTTTCAGAGGTGGTGGAAAAATCTAAACACAGGCTTTAATTAAAATATATATATCCTGCAAAGCCCTGTGTGTGTGCTTCTGATGAAATAGGGAGAGAAAAAAATGAGAGAGACAGAGAGAGAGAGAGACTGTGAGAGTGAATCTGGGACAACTGTTGCAATTCCTGGCTTGAGGTATGGGGTTCTGTTGCGTTCTTCTGCCTAAGATGATATGATCAAGTCCCACACAGAGGCTAGTCCTCAAATACTCCTTAGACATACAATGTTTTCAACATTTCCTTTCTAACTGAAATTTAAAATGAAACCTCCTAAGTTAGATTCAGGAAACAGTGGAAAATAATATACACAACATATAAAACATGACTTAATAAAAAGGGTTACCATAGCTAAAACTGATGTAATACTAAACAACAGTTGCAAGCATGTTTCTTTTAAAGTTACAAGCTTTTGAATAGTAAATTCAGCCACCGAAAGGAAAATAAATATATGAATTCTTGGTTTACTACCAAGAAAGTGAAGTTAGATTGAATATTTAAAGCATGCTTCTTCATAAGATATATCATATTTTGTGTGTGTGTGCGAATAAATTTCATTATCACCTAAATCTTTTCTCTCCTACTTAAAAAATCCCTGATGAGTAACAGTTATTGTAAGTACTAATACTAAATTACGTTTCCAATAAATGAATCAAAACATGCCATCTAAGTTTTTTTAAATTAAGAAGACTAATCCTCTAGTTATTTACAACGGAAAAGTAACATTAGGTGTTCAGCCAACATTGATTGCACAATAGTTGCAGAGCTAAAATTCTTAGAATAAAACAGAGAGCAAGATAAATTATAGTAAGATTCTATGTAGATTCAAATAATTCATCATCACAGCCAGCATAAATATTCCCATTATTTTCCTTTACATCATATTCTCCAGTGCAAGCTAACATACATAGCTATCATAATGGAAGTGATAATGAATACAACGCTGATCACACTCAGCTAATTAATTTGTAATTCATTTAGAGGACATCCAAACATGATTCATTCTTTAAACTGACCTAAATAAAACCTGATTTGATTTGCTGGAAGTGTGCTGGGGTCTTAGCACTAGCAATGCTAAAGGCAACCTATTATGACAATGCCTGTTAAGAAGCATATAGGGGAAGAGCAGTTATTTTTAAAGTTCCTAAGAGCATATTTTTACTAAGAAAATAAATAAGGTAATACAAGTCAATTCGCAGTAAAACTGTGAATACACATTTAGAGAAGGAAAAAAAAGTGAACATTTAAAAGAAAAGATGAATTTTTTCCCAGGGAAGCTTGAAGTTGAAGTCAGTTTTGTTTTTCTATTGGACTCTCAAGCCACTTTCACTTTGCAAGGCATCATGAAACCTAAACCTGTGGCTGAGGTGAAGGAGGGAGGCAATTATCTTGTTGATTTAGTGAAAAGAGTAGTATTCCAATAACCCAGGCAATCTAGGTGAAAGCTGAAACTTTAGCCAGGTAACCAGATAACTGTACTTAACAAGTGACTTCACTTGGCTTATATTGCAATGTATAATAATAGAAATCTTCTGTTATTTTCTCAGCCTCAAGGACACTTCTAAGAGTTTGGTTCTTTGCTTTTCTTTTTAAAATAACATTAAATGACAACACCGATATAGGGATGCAGAGTTTCCTGTTTTAAGTATGTATCTTGGTTAAATGAGGAGCTGAGTTATATATTTGTACTTAAATGAAACTCCTTTGAAATGACTATTAAAAATCTCTAATTCAACACTGCCCTTTTGAGTGCAGTGTTGAATTAGTGCCAAACAATTGGCATGATACTACAAATCTAAACTTTTCCACTTAATAGTGTGTGTTAGAGATTTTTCTAAATAATCAAAAACAGATATGCCTCAGTCTTTTTTTAGTGACAAGAACACAATGTGACATCAACCTTCCTAACAAAATTTTCAATGTACAATTCAGTATTGTTATTTATAGGCACAACGTCGTACAGCAGATCTCTAGAAGTTATTCACCTTTTTTTTTTTTTTTTTTTTTTTTTTTTGAGATGGAGTCTCGCTCTGTCGCCCAGGCTGGAGTGCAGTGGTACAATCTTGGCTCACTGCAACCTCTGCCTGCCGGATTCAAGCTGATTCTCCTGCCTTAGCCTCCCGAGTAGCCAGGACTACAGGCGCCCGCCTCCACGCCCAGCTAATTTTTTGTATTTTTAGTAAGGATGGGGTTTCACCGGTTATTCACCTTTTATAACTGAAATTTTATACCCGTGGAACAGCAAACTCCCCATTTCCCTCTCCCACTAGCTCCTAGAAACCACTTTTCTGCTCTCTGGTTCTATGAGTTTGACTATTTTAGATTCCTCATATAAGTGGGATCAAGGAGTATCACTCTTTCCGTGCCTAGCTTACTTCACTTAACAAAATGACTTCCGGGTTCATCCATGTTGTCCTGTATGGCAGGATTTCCTTCCTTTTTAAGGTTAAATAAAATTCCATTGTACATATATGAAACATTTTCTCTGTTTTTTTATCCCTCTATGGACATTTAGGTTGTTCCATATTTTGGCTATTGTGAATAATGCTGCAGTAAACATTGGAGGGCAGATATCTTCTTGATATCCTGATTTCTTTTTTTTTCAATACCAGATGTGAGATTGGTGGATAATATGGTAATTCTATTTTTAATTTTTTGTGTACCTCAGTGTTTTTAACTGCCAAATTGTGCTCCATCATCTGGGCACTCCACACTTTAGTTACAGTTATCTATTGATGGACATTATATTTGATGTGAAATTCCTAGCAGTGTGTTTTGATCACCTCCTCTGCTTCCCACTGGTGAGAAAGGGATTTTTGACCTAAAGTCATAGGGATGGCCAAAACCATGACACCCAACACTAGATAGATGAGATCAACAGTAGTGTATTAGTCACATATACTCACAGGCTGAGGACATTTTATGCCATGCAGAGCCATATGGGGCTACACTTAGGAACAGAGTAAACAAGCAGGGTCTGTGGGAGGCAAGCTTTGTAGTAACAAGAAGGTGGTGTAACTCCTGGTTCCCAAAGGAGGATGTGATTGGCTTGTTTGAATCATTCTGTGGACTAGCAGGGAACTGAGGGACTCAGAAATAAATAGGCATTGTGTTTGGTGCCCATGATATAAAGAGCTATTTTAATAGCATATTTTATCTGCTGGAACACAATGGGGAGGCCCATTCGAGGGTCTCCCAGTTTTCCCTGGATGCCAATATGTGCAGAATATGAGGCCTTAATTTTAGGCCTTAGACCACAAAGTGTCATTAGTGAGCCAAAGAGTACGTGCGTTTAAATTAATAAACTAGGTATTGATGGAATGTATCTCAAAATAATAAGAGCTATTTATGACAAACTCACAGTCAATATCATAGTGAATGGGCAAAAGCTGGAAGCATTCCCTTTGAAAACTGGCACAAAGCAAGGATGCCCTCTCTCACCACTCCAATTCAACATAGTATTGGAAGTTCTGGCCAGGGCAATCAGGCAAGAGAAAGAAATAAAGGAATTCAAATAGGAAGAGAGGAAGTCAAATTGTCTCTTTTTGCTGATGACATGATTGTATATTTAGAAAACCCCATTGTCTCAGCCCAAAATCTCCTTAAGCTGATAAGCAACTTCAGCAAAGTCTCAGGATACAAAATCAATGTGCAAAAATCTCAAGCACTCCTATACACCAATAATAGACAAACAGAGACCCAAATCATGAGTGAACTCCGATTCACAATTGCTACAAAGAGAATAAAATACATAGGAATACAACTTACAAGGGATGTGAAGGACCTCTTCAAGGAGAACTACAAACCACTGCTCAAGGAAACAAGAGAGGACACAAACAAATGAAAAACGTTCCATGCTCATGGGTTGGAAGAATCAATATCGTGAAAATGGCCATAGTGCCCAAAGTAATTTATAGACTCAATGCTATTCCCATCAAGCTACCATTGACTTTCTTCACAAAATTAGAAAAAACTACTTTAAATTGCATATGGAAGCAAAAAAGAGCGCATGTAGCCAAGACAATCCTAAGCAAAAAGAACAAAACTGGGGGCATCACGCTACCTGACTTTAAACTATACTACAAAGCTACAGTAAGCAAAACAGCATGGTACTGGTACCAAAACAGACAAATAGACCAATGGAACAGAACAGGGGCCTCAGAAATAACACCACACATCTACAACCAACTGATCTTTGACAAACTTGACAAAAACAAGCAATGGGGAGCAACCCCATTAAACAAGCAACACCCTATTTAATAAATGGTGTTGGGAAAACTTGCTAGCCATATGCAGAAAACTGAAACTGGATCCCTTCCTTACACCTTATACAGAAATTAACTCAAGATGGATTAAAGACTTAAATGTAAGACCTGAAACCATAAAAACTACAGAAGAAAACCTAGGCAATACCATTCAGGACATAGGCATGGGCAAAGACTTCATGACTAAAACACCAAAAGCAATGGAAACAAAAGCCAAAATTGACAAATGGGATCTAATTAAACTAAAGAGCTTCTGCACAGCAAAAGAAACTATCCTCAGAGTGAACAGGCAACCTACAGAATGGGAGAACATTTTTGCAATCTGCCCAGCTGACAAAGGGCTAATATCCAGAATCTACAAAGAACTTCAACAAATTTACAAGAAAAAATCAAACAACTCCATCAAAAAGTGGGTGAAGGATATAAATAAACACTTCTCAAAGAAAGACATTTATGAGGCCAACAAACATATTTAAAAAAAGCTCATCATCACTGGTCATTAGAGAAATGCAAATCAAAACCACAATAAGATACCATCTCACACCAGTTAGAATGGCAATCATTAAAAATTCAGGAAACAGCAGATGCTGGAGAGGATGTGAAGAAATAGGAACGCTTTTACACTGGTGGTGGGAGTGTAAATTAGTTCAACCATTGTGGAAGACAGTGTGGCAATTACTCAAGGATCTAGAACCAGAAATACCATTTGACCCAGCAATCCCATTACTGGGTATATACCCAAAGAATTTTAAATCATTCTACTGTAAAGACACATGCACACTTGTGTTTACTGCAGCACTGTTCACAGTAGCAAAGACTTGCAACCAACCCAAATGTCCATCAAGGATAGACTGGATTAAGAAAATGTGGCACATATATACCATGGAATACAAGGCAGCCATAAAAAAGGATGAGTTCATGTCCTTTGCAGGAGCATGGATGAAGCTGGAAACCATCATTCTCTGCAAACTAACGCAGGAACAGAAAACCAAACACCGCATGTTCTCACTCATAAATGGGAGTTGAACAATGAGAACACATGGACACAGGGAAGGGAACATCACACCACTGAGGCCTGTTGGGGTGTGGGGGTAAGGGAGGGATAGCATTAGGAAAAATACCTAATGTAGATGACGGGTTGATGGGTGCAGCAAACCACCATGGCATGTGTATACCTATGTAACAAATCTGCACGTTCTGCACATGTATCCCAGAACTTAAAGTATAATTTAAACATTAAATAAATATTGTTAAGCTGCCTTTGAATGAAGGCAGAAATGCATGATGGTCCCTTTTTTCCTCTATCTTTTTAAATATTGGGTTTTATTCTACTGTGTAATTTCTGCCAATTTAGTGAAAACATAGCTTCTTATTTTGTTTTCTTGAAGCATAAGGAGGATTAATCATTTTATATGCTTATTGAACATATGCATTTATTTTTATGTTAAATGCTCATTTAAAGAATCATGGTTTTCTTTCTTCTTTATTTTTAAAATTTCTATACTCCTAGTTACCGGAACTGTACTAAACATGTGTTAAAGTGTTGTCTTTTTTACACAATGATATTTTAATCACATTGCATACATTTTTATTATTAGCAAACTTTTACAACTTTAAATTGTGTATGTGACTTTTACAAAATTTTATGCTCCATATATTGTTTCATTCAATTTATTTATTAACACAGTTTCTATCTCCAGTGAAAATGGCTTGTTAACTATATGAGGTGCAATATCAGGTTCTCAAAAGTAAGCCTCTTATGTGACTTTTTCTGGGAAAAAATTAATTTGACTGATGTATTTTTCAAATTGTGGTAAAATATACATAACATTTGCCATTATAAATGCTTTTCAACGTAACATTTGCCATTATAAACCCTTTTCAATCTACAGTTCAGTAGTGTTAAGTATAGTTACACTGTTGTGCCACCCATCTCTAGAACTTTTTCATATCCATTAAACCAGCAGTCCCCAACATTTTTGGCACCAGGGACCAGTTTCATGGAAGACAATTTTTTCCACGGATGAGGGTGGGGTTACCGGGGAGGAGGGTTTCAGGATGAAACTGTTTTACCTCACATCAGCAGGCATTAATTAGATTCTCATAAGGAGTGCACAACCTAGACCCCTTGCATGCACAGTTCACAATAGGGTTCCTGCTCCTATGATAATTGAGTGCCGCCACTGATCTGTCAGGAGGCAGAGCTCAGGCATTAATGCTCATTTGCCTGCTGCTCACCTCCTGCTGTGTGGACTCGTACCAGTCCATGGCTCATGGAGTGGGAACCCTTGCAATAAACTACCCATTTCCCCTCCCCAAACCCCACGCAATGACCATTCTATTAAACCTTCCTTAGCTTAACTACTCTAGATAGCTCATATAAATAAAATAATGAAATATTTGTGTTTATGTAACTGGCTAATTTCACTTAGCATAATGTCCTCAAAGTTTATCTATGTCACAGCATGTGTCAGAATTTCCTTCCTTTGTAAGAATGAATAATATTTCATTGTATGCATGTACCAAATTTTTGTTCATACATTCATTCATTGATGGATATTTAGATTGTTTCCATGTTTTGGCTGTTGTGAATAATGGTATGCATATAGGCATACAAATATCTTTTCAAAACCCTGTTTTTAATTCCTTGGAATATATACCCAGAAGTGGAATTGTTGGATCATAGGGTAATTCTATTTTTCATTTTTTGAGAAACCTCCATACTGTTTTCCCCAGCAGATATACCATCTCACATTCCCACTAACAGTGCATAGAGGTTTTAATTTCTCTATCTCCTCACTAACCCTTGCCATTTTCTGAACATGTGTGCGTGTTTTTGCACCTCTGTGTGTTTTTACAGTAGATATCCTAATTGGTGTGAGGTGAAATCTCATTGAGTCTTTGATTTGCATTTCCCTGTTGATTAGTGATGTTGAGCATCTTTCTATACGCTTGTTGGCTACTTGTACATCTTTTTTGGAGAAGTTCCCATTCAAGTCCTTTGCCCATTGTTTAAATGGGTTATTTGTTTTTGGTATTGAGTTGTAGGAGTTGTAAAAATATATTCCTGATATTAACATCCTTCAATAAGAAAGTTATCTTTTACATTCTAATAGTTTCTGATCCTTGACTTTCTGAAATGTATCTTTGTGGTAGTTAATTTAATGTGTCAATTTGACTGGGCTAAGGGGTGCCCAAGCATTTGGTCAAACATTATTCTGGGTGTGTTGTGAAGATGTTTCTGAATTAGATTAACATATAAATCAGTAGACTGAGTTAAGTAGATTGCCCTTCCTAATGTGAATGGGCCTCATCTATTTAATTGAAGACTGGAACTGAACAAAAAGCCTGAGTATGAAAGAATTCCTCTTGCCTGATTGTTGAGGTGGGACACTCGTGTTTTCTATCCTTTGGACTCAGACTGAAGCATCGGTTCTTCTTGGATCTTGAAGCTGCTGGATTTGGGACTGGAATTTACTGGACTTGGCTTTCCTCGTTCGCAGGCCTTTGGACTGAGACCAATACTACATATCATCTTTCCTTGGTCCCCAGCTTGCAGACTGAGGATTGTGAGACCTCTGCTTTCACAATAGTGGGAGACAATTCTTTATCTCCATCCAATCTATGAGTTCTGTTTCTCTGGAGATCGCTGCCTAATATAAACCACTTACCATCACAAAACTACTTGAAATTTATTCTTGAAAAGAACTTCGTTCAATCTTACAGAATAGGGGTCTGGGCAAGAGTTACCTTTTGGCTTTCAGTCTCTGGAGTTCTGGCATCCAAATCCCTGACCCACTCCTTTCCAAATATACCATATGTGAGAAAGTGCTGTCATTGTCAGTTTATTTATTTTAAAAAGATCAACAGTGAATTCTAGAGTTTCAACTGACATTGCTCGGCTAACATTTTACTTGTCTTACAAGCAGTGTCAATCACAATGCTCTGCTAGGGAAATGTCATACAAATAGAAAATTTCTACTGATAAGCAGAAGTGGAACAAGACCCCCTATTATCATAGCTAAGCTTAAAAGCATTGAATGAAGATAGCTACACTTCTTAAGGAATTCCCTTGAAAAATTAACTAATCCTCTTTGGACAGAATTGAATAAGTTATTTTTATTCTAAACCTAGCAGGAAGTATCTTTAATATGAAATAGAAGAATTGTTGGTAAGCCTCTGTATATAATTGCAAACTTGTCAAAAACAAAACAAAACAAAATATCACATGTAAGGTCCATCATTTCAACATATATGTACAACACTTCTATTCTCCAGCAACAAACATTTAAAGCCAGAAATAGCATAGGTTTTTATTATGTGGAGCACATCGTAAGGGCTTACAACTGGTAACAAATAGAAGCTGAAAATTTTCTCCTCAGTGCAAAACAGTGGGAATCCAGAAAATCCTGTATTTGAATCTCAGTTCTGTCTCTTCCTAGTTGTGAAAAAGTGACTTAATCTCTCTCTGAAGCTTATTTTCATTATGTTAAAATGGGCATAATTCTACCCACCTCAGAGGATTGCTAAAAAAGATTAAATGAGAAAACACATGTAAAATAAATCAGGTTCATATTCATAGCAACCTAGTAAACATGAGCCTTCTTCTGAAACCTACCCCACATACACACACCTGTATCCTAAATGGGAAGAAAAATACAGGTGCTATGAGGGGAGACTAACTTAACAGGAGAATCACAGGTACCTGAGAGAATAAACTGCTTTTTTAGAAAGAGCAGCAATAGCTGAGCATGCTTGGATTTTGCTCCAGCTTCTTTGTGAAGGGCATCTCGTGCTGGCTATTGTTTTGTTCTTTTAGATATTATACATTTCTGTATATTTAAAGCAGGGTGTCACAGCCCCCATGGAACACAGATGTCACTCACATGACAGCTAGCATGTGGAAAAGGTCTGATTTCCTGCCTTGCTGGTATCATCATATCACCATTCAAAGTATCTCAGGTTCACATTTGATGCTTATTGCCTATTTTTATGTGCTCTCTGAGGAGAATTATTCGTTAATGAAATTAAATGTGGGGGCCTAGTACCCTGCTGCGAAGTTCTAGAATTGAACAGCAATCTGCGGCAAGCTCCTGCAATATGGCATCTGGTTGGCTGCCCACTTTCACCATATCTACTGTTAACTTCCTACAGTGATTAGGCACCAGTTATATGTCTCCATTGTTTAGTGATGAGAAAATTGTGGAGAGTTTGGTTAAAAAATAAATCAAAATAGGAAATTTACAAGAAAATGTAATTTGAAAGAATTCTATTGTTGATACAATAAAATAAATCTGTAGATGTCTTCGAATGGCCAGATATAATAAGACAGAACAGCAGCTGTTGAGACAGAAAGAAGTGGGAGTCAAAGAATTATAGAAAAAGAGGGTAGTCATAGTAATAAACTAGGTAGTTCAGCACTAAGGAAAACTTGCATAATTTTCCTTGCATAGCTCTCACAATCTTAAGCCAACATCAGAAAGTGCTGTTACATTTTAAAATATTAAGTATTTTTTTGGCATCATGTACAGTCATCAGGTTACCCATATATATATTTTATATGCAACTTTAAGACATGATTAAAATAACTTTTTGCATAGCCTTAATTAAAAAGAAAAATCAGTGGTAAACCTTTCACTATACAGGATCATTTTGTCAGCTGGCCACTTCACATTATTGAGTATCTACTAGGCATGTGGTACATAAGCACACAGCAAGTTTACATTTGCTTTCACTAAAACTGATGTTTGACCAAGGATTCTGTAATATAAGTTTGAAACCTGCTAGAGTTTTGCATTTTAATTTTTTTCATTTAATCTCATTGCATTGTGTAAGTTCTTTTTTGTTCTTACAGTTTTAAAAAATATTTTAATCTTACAGATCTAAAGCACAACAAATAACTAAAAGCGAGAATTGTTCTTGTAAAATGTAAACTCCCAAAGGTTTATCATAGATATGACTTAGCTGTGTTCTTATCTGTGAATGGGAAAGCTTCTGCAATGTCTACAGAACAATTATTATCACAAAAATTCAGAACTTGATTTACAGTAGGTGAGAGACAAGGCAGTTTAAATTAATAAAATGTTTATATAGCAGAAAATTATCCTGCCATCTCCATCTCTACCCCTAAATCTCCTCAGGTGCTAAGAAATTATAATTACTTTGAAAATGTATATAAAATACTCATAGTTTTAAACTGATAGTGTTAAGATAATCCATGTGATTAAATTGTCTAAATATAGAAATATTTTATTTGCATTAAAATATGTCATTTTTAATAACTTGTGGGTTAATTCATAAAAGCTGATGTTTTCAGAATAGATTAAAACAAAACAACAAAACACATAGGTATTTTCCAAAGAATAAGACCTAGTTTAAGGAAAAGCCATGACATAGCAAACAGGATGTGCCTAACTTACTCATGTTTGAAAGAATGAAAAACAGAGCTATTTTGACGAGGAGCACTTTTGATAGGAAATGTTGCCCCAAATCGGCTTCTATCCATGTATGGAAACACAAGAATCTGTTAGGGAATGTGGGTAGGCAGACATTTGGTTCAGAGTCTTGGCACATTGAAAATTGTGGTAAAAGAATTCAGGTATTTAAAAAAAAGAGGGAATCCTCCCTAACTCATTTTATGAGGCCAGCATCATCCTGATACCAAAGCCTGGCAGAGACACAACCAAAAAAGAGAATTTTAGACCAATATCCTTGATGAATATTGATGCAAAAATCCTCAATAAAATACTGGCAAACCGAATCCAGCAGCTCATCAAAAAGCTTATCCACCATGATCAAGAGGGCTTCATCCCTGGGATGAAGGCTGGTTTAATATACGCAAATCAACAAATGTAATCCAGCATATAAACAGAACCAAAGACAAAAACCACATGATTATCTCAATAGATGCAGAAAAGGCCTTTGACAAAATTCAACAACTCTTCATGCTAAAAACTCTCAATAAATTAGGTATTAATGGGACTTATCTCAAAATAATAAGAGCTATTTATGACAAACCCACAGCCAATATCATACTGATTGTGCAAAAACTGGAAGCATTCCCTTTGAAAACTGGCACAAGACAGGGATGCCCTCTCTCACCACTCCTATTCAACATAGTGTTGGAAGTTCTGGCCAGGGCAATTAGGCAGAAGAAGGAAATAAAGGGTATTCAATTAGGAAAAGAGGAAGTCAAATTGTCCCTGTTTGCAGACGACATGATTGTATATCTAGAAAACCCCATTGTCTCAGCCCAAAATCTCCTTAAGCTGATAAGCAACTTCAGCAAAGTCTCAGGATACAAAATCAATGTACAAAAATCACAAGCATTCTTATACACCAATAATAGACAAACAGAGAGCCAAATCATGAGTGAACTCCCATTCACAATTGCTTAAAAGAGAATAAAATACTTAGGAATCAAACTTACAAGGGATGTGAAGGACCTCTTCAAGGAGAACTACAAACCATTGCTCAATGAAATAAAGGAGGATACAAACAAATGGAAGAACATTCCATGCTCATGGGTAGGAAGAATAAATATCGTGAAAATGGCCATACTGCCCAAGGTAATTTATAGATTCAATGCCATCCCCATCAAGCTACCAATGATCTTCTTCACAGAATTGGAAAAAACTACTTTAAAGTTCATATGGAACCAAAAAAGAGCCTGCATAGCCAAGACAATCCTAAGCCAAAAGAACAAAGCTATAGGCATCATGCTACCTGACTTCAAACTATACTACAAGTCTACAGTAACCAAAACAGCATGGGACTGGTACCAAAACAGAACAGAACAGAGCCCTTGGAAATAACGCCACATATCTACAACTATCTGATCTTTGACTAACCTGAGAAAAACAAGCAATGGGGAAAGGATTCCCTATTTAATAAATGGTGCTGGGAAAACTGGCTAGCCATATGTAGAAAGCTGAAACTGGATCCCTTCATTACACCTTATACAAAAACTAATTCAAGATGGATTAAAGACTTAAACGTTAGACCTAAAACCATAAAAACCCTAGAAGAAAACCTAGGCATTACCATTCAGGACATAGGCATGGGCAAGGACTTCATGTCTAAAACACCAAAAGCAATGGCAACAAAAGCCAAAATTGACAAATGGGATCTAATTAAACTAAAGAGCTTCTGCACAGCAAAAGAAACTACCATCAGAGTGAGCAGGCAACCTACAAAATGGGAGAAAATTTTCACAACCTACTCATCTGACAAAGGGCTAATATCCAGAATCTACAATGAACTCAAACAAATTTACAAGAAAAAAACAAACAACCCCATCAAAAAGTGGGCAAAGGATATGAACAGACACTTCTCAAAAGAAGACATTTATGCAGCCAAAAGACACATGAAAAAATGCTCACCATCACTGGCCATCAGAGAAATGCAAATCAAAATCACAATGAGATACCATCTCACACCAGTTAGAATGGCAATCATTAAAAAGTCAGGAAACAACAGGTGCTGTAGAGGATGTGGAGAAATAGGGACACTTTTACACTGCTGGTGGGACTGTAAACTAGTTCAACCATAGTGGAAGTCAGTGTGGCGATTCCTCAGGGATCTAGAACTAGAAATACCATTTGACCCAGCCATCCCATTACTGGGTATATACCCAAAGGATTATAAATCATGCTGCTATAAAGACACATGCACATGTATGTTTATTGCGGCATTATTCACAATAGCAAAGGCTTGGAACCAACCCAAATGTCCAAAACGATAGACTGGATTAAGAAAATGTGGCACATATACACCATGGAATACTATGCAGCCATGAAACATGATGAGTTCATGTCCTTTGTAGGGACGTGGATGAAATTGGAAATCATCATTCTCAGCAAACTATCACAAGGACAAAAAACCAAACACCGCATTTTCTCACTCATAGATGGGAATTGAACAATGATATCACATGGACACAGGAAGGGGAACATCAAACTCTGGGGACTGTTGTGGGGTGGGGGGAGTGGGGAGGGATAGCATTAGGAGATATACCTAATGCTAAATGACGAGTTAATGGGTGCAGCACACCAGCATGGCACATGTATACATATGTAGCTAACCTGCACATTGTGCACATGTACCCTAAAACTTAAAGTATAATAATAATAAAATAAAAAATACAAATTGAAAAGTGAAAAGTGTATTTGAATCACTTCAAACTTTTTCTTAAAGAAGAAAAACAATTTTTGGCTTAGAAGACAGAACAAGATGGCAGAATAGAAGGCTCGACTGATCATCCCCCTAAAAGGACACTAATTTAACAACTGGAGATTATGATTTAACAACTGGAGATCACCTGCTAGGCCCTAGCTCCCAGACATTTGTATACATGGCCTGTGCCAGAAGGGAACTGTTGCCTTGCAGAAAAGGACCTAGTGCTAGAAGCATCCATGACCTACTAACTGAAGAGCCCTTAGGCCGCGAATAGCTAGCAGCAATATCCAGGTACTACGCCAAGGGTCTTGGGTGAGCCTCTGAGACTTTCTGGCTTCAGGTGAGACTCAGCACATGACTAGCCGTGGGGACTACAAGGTGAAGCTCCTTCTGCTTGAGAAAAGCAGAGGAAAAAATAAAGGGAAATTTGTCTAGCATCTTAGGTACCAGCATGGCCACAACTGGGTAGAGCACAAAGAGGGCCCTTGAGGTCTCTGATTCTAGGACTTGACTCTTCTATGAAATTTCTGGACTTTCCCTGAGCCAGAGGGGAGTGCACTTCCCTGAAAGTTGAGTCTCAGACCAGGCAGCATTCACCATAAACTGACTTAACAGCGCTTGGGTCCTAAGGGAATGTTGGCAGTAGTCTGGCAGTACTTCCATGGTCTGTGGTGTTGGGGGCTACAGGATGAGAGGATGAGGCTCTTTTGCCTTTGGCAAGGGTAGGGAAAAGTGGGAAGGACTGCATCTTGTATTTCTTTTGCACTATTGCCACAGTACAATAGAACAACAGGTAAATTTATTGACTAAAGTTATTGACTCTAGTCCCAGATTCCTGGATGGCACCTCTGGACCCACCTGGGGCCTGGAGAACCTCCCTGCCCTGAAGGGAAGGACCCCGGGTTGGCTTGTTTTGCCACCAGCTGATTGTAGAGCCCCAGGGCCTAGTGCGAACATAGACAGTAGCCAGGGAGTGGTTACAGCAGACCTTGGGAGAGACCACATGTTGTGCTAGCTTCAGGTCTGACCCAATGAAGTCATAGTGATGGTGGCCACAGCAGTGTTTGTGTCACTACACTCCCAGATTTAGGTACTCAGAAAGAGAAAGACTGACCTCGTTTGTTTGGGAAAATGTAAGGGAAGATAATAAGTCTCTGTCTGGTAATTCAGAGAATTATCCCAGACATTGTCAAGACCATGAAGGCAGTACAACTCTGGATCTGCAAGAATCACAGCGTTATTGGTCTTGAGGTGTGCCCAAAGCAGATAGAGCTTAGATTACAACACCCAAGTCCTTTCAAATATCTGGAACTCCTTCCCAAAAAGGATTGACACAACTAAGAACAGACAGTGAAGACTGTAATAAATACCTAACTCTTCAATGTGCAGATACCAAAGAATATGTACTAGCATGAACACAATCCAGGAAAACATGAACTCACCAAATGAAGAAAATAAGACACAAGGGACTAATCCTGGAGAAGCAGAGATATGTTACCTTTCAGACAGAGAATGGAAAGTAGCTATGTTGAGGAAAAAGAAATTCAAGCTCATACAGAGAAGAAATTCAGAATCCTATCAGATAAATTTAACAAAGATACTGAAATAATTAAAACGAATCAAGCAGAAATTCCAGAGCTCAAAATGCAATTGATATACCAAAGAATGCATCAGAGATCTCTAACAACAGAATGAATCAAGCAGAACAAAGAATTAGTGAGCTTGAAGACATGTTATTTAATAATACACAGTCAGAGGGACAAAAGGAAAAAAAAATAAGAAACAATGAAGCACAAATAGAGGATCTAGAAAATAGACTCAAAAGGGCAAATCTAAGAGTTATTGGCCTTAAAGACAGGGTAGATAAAGACATAGAGATATAAAGGTTATTCAAAGGGATAATATCAGAATACTTCCTGAACCTAGAGAATGATATCAATATCCAAGTACAAAAGGTTTATAAATCATCAACTAGATATAACCCAAAGAAGACTACCTCAAGGCATTTACTAATCAAACTCCCAAACATAGATGATAAAGAAAATATCCTAAGAGCAGCAAGAGAAAAGAAACAAAAAACAACAATGAAGCTCCAATACATCTGGCAGCAGACTTTTCAGTGGAAACCTTACAGGCCAGGAGATAGTGGCATGACACATTTAAAGTGCTGAAGAAAAAAATCACTTTTGACCTAGCATAGCATATCCAGCGAAAATTCCCTCCAAACATAAAGAAATAAAGACATTCCCAGATGAACAAAATCTGAGGGTTTCATTAACGCGAGACCTGTTCTGTAAGAAATGTTAAAGGGAGTACTTCAATCAGAAAGAAAATAATGTAAATGAGCAATAAGTAATCACTTTAATCACTCACAGGTAATAGTAAGTACACAGAAAAACACAGAATATTATAACACCATAACTGTGGAGTATAAACTACCCTTATCCTAAGTAGAAAGACTATATGATAAACCGATCAAAAATAATAACTACAAAACCTTTTTAAGACATAGACAGTACAATAAAGTACAATTAGAAACAAAAAGTTAAAAAGCAAGAGAACAAACTTAAGGTGTAGAATATATATTAGTTTTCTTTTGTTTGTTTATGCAAATAGTGTTACATTGTTATAAGGTTAAAATAATGGGTTACAAGATAGTACTTGCAAGCCTCATGATAACCTCAAACAGAAAAGCATACAACAGATACACAAAAAATAAAAAGCAAGAAACTAAATCATCTTACCAGACAAAATCACTTTCTCTAGAGGAAGAAAGGAATGAAAGGAAGAAAGGAAGAGAAGACCACAAAACAAACAGAAAACAAATAACAATGGCAGGAGTAAGTCCTTACTTATTGATAATAACACTGAATGTAAATGGACTAAACTCTCCAACAAAAACACATAGATGACTGAATGGATGAAAAATCAAGATGCATTTCATTAATCTGTTGTCTACAAGAAACACACTTCACCTATAAAGACACATATAGACTGAAAATAAAGAGATGGAAAAAGATGTTTCATACCAATGGAAACCAAAAAAGATTAGGAGTTGCTATACTTATATCAGACAAAGTAGATTTCAAGAAAAAACTGTAAGAAGAAACAAAGAAGGTCACTATATAATAATAAAGGTGTCAATTTAGCAAGAGGATGTAACAATTATATATATAATCAAATTATACATATGATCAAATTTGATTTTATATATATAATCAAATTATATATATGATCAAATTTGATTTTATATATATATAATCAAACCTGGAACACCCATATAGATCTGAAATATTATTAGAGCTAAAGAGAGAGATAGGTCCCAATACAATAATAGCTAGAGACTTCAACACCCCACTTTCATCATTGGACAGGTCTTTCAGACAGCAAATCAACAAAGAAACATTAGACTTGATCTGCACTATACACCAAATGGGTCTAATAGATATTTACAGAACATTTCATCCAAGAGCTGAAGAATATATTCTTTTCCTCAGCACATGGATCATTTTCAAGGATAGACCATATGTGTAATCACAAAAGACACCTTAAAACATTCAAAAAAATGAAATAATATCAAGCATCATCTCTGACCACAAATGAATAAAACTAGAAATCAATAGCAAGAGGAATTTTGTAAATTATGCAAATACAAAGAAAATAAACAATATGCTTCTGAATAACCAGTGGGTAAATAAAGAAATTAAGAAGAAACTTTAAAATTTTTTTGAAACAAATAATAGAAACAAAACATACCAAAACCTATGGGATACAGAAAAGCAGTACTAAGAGTTTATGGCTATAATTGCCTATCTCAAAAAAGGGAAAAATCATCAAATACACAATCTAATAATGCATCTCAAAGAACTAGAAAAGCAAGAAAAATCCAGACTCCAAATTAGTAGAAGAAAATAAATAATAAAGATGAAACCAAAAATGAAATTGAAATGAAGAAAACAATACATCAATGAAACAAAGAGTTGTTTTTATTTTTTGAAAACTTAAGCAACATTGACAAACCTTTAGCGACACTAACAAAAACAAAAAGAGAAGATACAAATAAATAAATCAGAAGTGAAAAAGAAGACAGTACAACTCATACTGCAGAAATTCAAAAGATCACTAGTGGCTACAATGAACAACTATATGCCAATAAATTGAAAAATATAGCAGAAATGTACAAATTCTTACACACATACAACCTACAAAGATTGAACCACAAAGATATCCAAAACCCAAACAGACCAATAACAAGTAACGGGATCAAAGCTGTAATAAGAAAGCCTCCCAATAAAAAAAAAAACCAGGACCCAGTGGTTTCACTGCTCAATTTTGGCAAACATTTAATAAAGACCTAGTACCAATCCTACTTAAACTATTCCAATAAATAGAGGAAGAGAAAATACTTCCAAACTCATTTTATGAAGTCAGTATTATGCTGATATCAAAACCAGATAAAGACACCTCAAAAAAAAAAAGAAAACTGTAAGTCAATATCTCTGATAAATATCGATGTAAACATCCTCAACAAAACACTAGCAAAGAGAATTCAACCAAATATTAGAAATATCGTTCATCCTGACCACGTGAGATTTATTTCTGGTATGCGAGCATGGTTCAACATATGAAAATCAGTCAATGTGATACATCACACCAACAGAATGAAAGGTAAAGACTTTATGATTATGCCAATTAATGCTAAAAAAGCACTTGATAAAATTCAACATTGCTTCATGATAAAACAACAGCCATCACAAAACCAGGGATAGAAGAAACATACCTCAACATAATAAAAGGCATATATGACACTCAGTATCATATTGAACGGGAAGAAATGACAGCCCTTTCTCAGAGATATTGAAAACAACAAGGAGGCCCACTTTCACCAGTTATTCAATATACTACTGGAAGTTCTAGGAAGAGCAATGAGAAAAGAGAAAAAATAAAGGGCATGAATATAGGAAAGGAAGACGTCAAATTATCCTTCTTTGCAAATGATATGATCTTATATTTGGAAAAATTTAAAGACTACACACAAAACATTTAGAACCGATAAATTCAGTGAAGTTACAAGATACAAAATCAACATACAAAAATCAGTGGCATTTCTATATGTCAACAGTGAACAATCTGAATAAGAAATTAAACAGGAATCCCATTTACAATAGCCACAATAAATACGTAGGAATTAACCAAAGAAGTTAAAGATCTCCATAATGAAAACTACAAAACACTGATGAAAGAAATTGAAAAGGGCACCACAAAATGGAGAAGCATTCCATGTTCATCGACGGAAATAATCAATAATGTTAAAATTTCCATAGTCACCAAAGCAATCTACAGATTCAGTACAATCACTATCTAAATACCAGGGACATTCTCCACAGAGAAAATAACTATCATAACATTTATACAGACCCACAAAGACCCAGAATAGCCAAAGCTATTCTAGGCAAAAATAACAAAACTGGAGGAATTACATCATCTGCCTTCAAATTATACTACAGAGCTATAGTAACCAAAACAGCATGATCTGGCATAAGAAATAGACATGTAGAGCAATGGAATAAAATAGATAACCCAGAAACAAATCCAATCCACACACCTGCAGTAAACTCATTCCCATAAAGGTGCCAAAAACATACACTGGGGAAAAAGACAGTTTCTTCAATAAATGGTGCTGGGAAAACTGGATATTCATATGCAGAAGAATAAAACTAGACTCCTATCTTTTGCCATATACAAAAATCAAAACAAAATGGCCTTAAACATTTAGTCTATAACCTCAGACTATTAAACTACTACAGGAAAACACTGGAAACAACCTTTAGGACATTGGGCTGGGCAAAAATTTCTTGCATAATACCACACGAGCACAGACAATCAAAGCAAAAAAATGAACAACTGGGATCATGTCAAGCTAAAAATCTTCTGCACGACAAAGAAAACAACAAAATGAAAAGACAACCCATAGAAGGAGCAAATATTTGCAAATTGCCCATCTGACAAGGGATTAATAACCAGAACATATAAGGAGCTCAAGCAACTTTATAGAAAAAAATCTAATAATCCAATTAAAAATGGGCAAAAGATTTGAATAGATATTTTTCAGAAGACATACAAATGGCAAACAGACATATGAAAAGGTGCTCAACATCACTGATCCTCAGAGAAATGCAAATCAAAACTACAATGAGGCATTATCTTACCTCAGCTAAAGTGGCTTGTATCCAAAAGATAGGTAATAACAAATTCTGGCGAGGATGTGGAAAAAGGGGAACCATTGCACACTGTTGGTGGAAATGTAAATTAGTACAAACACTATGGAGAACAGTTTGGAGGACTGTTAGAAAACTAAAAATATAAGTACCATATGATCCAGCAATCCCACTGCTGGGAATATACTCAAAAGAAGGGAAATCAGTATATCTAAAAGATATCTGCACTCCCATGTTTGTTTCAGCAGTTTACAATAGCCAAAATTTGGAAGCAACCTAAGTGTCCATCAACAGATGAATGGATAAAGAAAATATAGTACGTACACACAATGAAGTACTAGTCAGCTATAAAAAGTATAAGATTCAGTCATTTGCAAGAACATGAATAGAACTGGAGTTCATTATGTCAAGTGAAATAAGCCAGACACAGAAAGACAAATATCACATGTTCTCAGTTATTTGTGGGATCTAAAAACCAAAACAATTGAACTCATGGACCTAGAGAGTAGAAGGATGGTTACCAGAGGCTGGGAAGTGTAGTGGAGGGCATAAGGGGAGGTAAGGATAGTTAATGGCTACAAAAAGAGTCAGAAATAATGAACAAGACATACTACTTGATAGCACAACAGGATGACTGTAGTCCATAATATATTAATTGTATTTTTTAAAATAACTAAAAGAGTGTAATTGGACTGTTTGTAATAGAAAGGATAAATGCTCGAGGAGATGGGATATCCCATTCTCCATGATGTGCTTATTTCACGTTGCATGCCTGTATCAAAACATCTCATGCGCCGCATAATATATATACCTACTATGTACCCTCAAAAATTAAATATAAAAAAAATTCTTGAGTTTTAAAAATGAAATTAATTTGTGATCATTGTGAAAACTTGAACAATATATAAAATTAACGTGTAGTATATATAAAATAAAAAGGTAGCATTCTTCTTAATCCTGGCCTTCCTAATCTACCTTTATAATAATGCCACCACCAATACGGGGTGAAAAACTTTTGGGAAGGCAGACACACCCTAGCAAATGTTTAGAATCAACAAGAATATTTAAGAATGATTACTCTCTCTCACCCAAAGAGAGAAAAGACTATTCCTAGGTAATTTTGTAATACTTCACATAAATTTTGAAATGTTATTTCATAATTGGTAATTGAAATAGAAACTAGAAAAATATTTACCTAGTACAGAACTTTATAAACAATTTCCAAAATAATGTGTAGTATGTATAGTTTATTCTGTAAGTAAAACTGAAAAAACTAAGCTTAAGTATATTGTCATTTTATATTAATGCGCATTTCATGGAATTTCCACGGTTATATTCAGTAATAAGTACTAAAAATGTTAAAAGTCATCAAGATCATATGTCTGGCTACATTTACTTGTAGTTGCTGTCATTTCTGTTAAATTTCAGCTTTCATTTTAGATACAGGATGTACATGCACAGGTTTGTTACATGGGTATATTGCACCAAGTTAGTAAGCACAATACTCAATATGCAGTTTTTCAATCTTTGACCCCCTCTCTCCCCACTCTAGTTGCTCAAAGTGTCTATTGTTCCCATGTTTATGTCCATGCATGCTCAAAGTTCAGCTCCCACTTATAAGTAAGAGCATGCGGTATTTGGTTTTATGTTTCTACATTAATTAACTTAAGATTATGGCCTCCAGCTTCATTCATGTTACTGCAAAGGACATGATTTTGTTCCCTTTTATGCCTCCATAGTATTCCATGGTGTATATGTATGACATTTTCTTTATCTAGTCCACTGTTGATAGACATTTAGGTGGATTCTACGTCTTTACGATTGTGAATATTGCTGCGATAAACATGGAAGCATATGTCTTCTCGGTAGAGCAATTTATTTTCCTTTGGGTATATAACCCATAATGTAACTGCTGGGTCAAATGGTAGTTCAACTCTTAGTTCTTTGAGAACTCTCCAAAGGGCTTTCTACAGTGGCTGAACCAGTTTACATTTCCACCAACAGTGTATAAGCATTCTCTTTTCTGTGCAACCTTGCCAGTATTTGTTATTTTTGACTTTTTAATAACAGCCGTTCTGAGCTATGTGAGATCATATCTCATTGTGGTTTTGATTTGCATTTCTCTGATGATTATTGATGAGCATTTTTTCATGTTTTTGTTGGCTGCTTATATGCCTCCTTTTCGTGTCTTTGCCCATTTTGTATTGGGGTTGTTTTTTGTTGATTTGTTTAAGTTTTTTAGATTCTAGATATCAGGCCTTTGTAGTATGCACAGTTTGTGAATATTTTTTTCCCATTCTGTGGGTTGTCTGTTTATTCTGTTGATAGTTAACTTCACTGTGTAGAATCTATTTAGTTTAATTAGGTCCCACTTGTCAAGTTTTTTTTTTTTTTTCTGTAATTGCTTTTGGGAACTTAGCCAAAAATTCCTCACCAAAGCTAATGTGGAGAAGGGTATTTCCTAAGTTTTCCTGTAAGATTTTTGTAGTTTTCAGTCTTATATTTAAATCTTTAATACATCTTGAGTTAATTTTTATATATGGTGAAAGATAAGGGTCTAATTTCATTATTTTGCAAATGACTAGCCAGTTACCTCAACACCATTTATTGAATAGGGAGTACTTTTCCTATTTTCTGTTTTTCTTGGTCTTGTTAAAGATCAAGTGCTTATAAGTGTGTGGCTTTATTTCTGAGTTTTCTATTCTATTTCATTGGTCTGTGTGTCTGTTTTTGTACCAGTACTTTGTTGTTTTGGTTCCTGTAGCCTTACAGTATTGTCTGAAGTCACGTAGTATAATGTCTCCAGCTTTGTTCTTTTTCTTAGATTTGCCCTTGGCTATTTAGGCTTGTTTTGGTTCCATGTGAAAGTTAGAATTTTTTTTTCTCATTCTTTGAAGAATGATGTTCAGAGTTTCACAGGAATAGCACTGACTGTTAATTGCTTTGGGTGATGTGGCCATTTTAATGATATTGATTTTTCCAATTCATGAGCATGGAATTTTTTCCATATATTTGTGTCATCTCTGATTTCTTTTTTTTTTTTTTTTTTTTTTTTTTTTTTTTTTTGAGACGGAGTCTCGCTCTGTCGCCCAGGCTGGAGTGCAGTGGCGGGATCTCGGCTCACTGCAAGCTCCGCCTCCCGGGTTCACGCCATTCTCCTGCCTCAGCCTCCCAAGTAGCTGGGACTACAGGCGCCCGCCACTACGCCCGGCTAATTTTTTGTATTTTTAGTAGAGACGGGGTTTCACCGTTTTAGCCAGGATGGTCTCAATCTCCTGACCTCGTGATCCGCCCGCCTCGGCCTCCCAAAGTGCTGGGACTACAGGCGTGAGCCACCGCGCCCGGCCTCATCTCTGATTTCTTGCAGCAGTTTTTTTGTAGTTCTCCTTACAGACATCTTTCACCTTCTTGGTGAGCTGCATTCCTAGGTATTTTACTTTCTTTCTGGGATTTGTAAATGGGATTGTGTTCTTGATTCGATTCTCAGTCTGCATGTTATTGGTGTATAGAAATGCTACTAAATTTTGTACATGGATTTTGTATCCTGAAACCTTACTAAAATTGTTTATCAATTCTAGTTGCCTTTTTTTTACAGTCTTTAAGGTTTTCTAAGTATAAAATCATATCGTCAACAGAGAGATAATTTGACTTGTTCTTTTCCTACTTGAATGGTTTTTTTTTTTTTTTTTTCGCCTGGTGGCTCTTGCTAGCACTTCCAGTATTATGTTAAATAGGAGTGGTGGTTGTGGGCATCCTTGTCTTGTTCCAGTTCTCAAGGGGAATGGTTCTAGCTTTTGCCCTTTCAATATTTTGTTGGCTGTGGGTTTGTCACAGATGGCTCTTATTATTTTGAGGGATATTCCTTCAATACCTGGTTTGTTGAAGGTTTTTATCATGAAGAATGTTAGATTTTATGGAAAACTTTTTATGTGTATATTGAGATGATTATATGTTTTTTATTTTAATTCTCTTCACATGTTTTATCACATTCATTGATTTATGTATGTTGAGTCAAACTTGCATCTCAGGAATGAAGCCTACTTGTATTGTGGTAAATTAACTTTTGGATGTGCTGCTGGATTAGATTTACTAGTATTTTCCTGTGAACTTTTGCATCTATCTTCATGAGAATTAGTGGCCCTATTTTTTTTCTTCATTGTGTCTCTGTCAGATTTTTGTATTAGGGTAATGCTCGTTTCACAGGCTGAGTTACGGAGGAAACCCTACTCCTTCATTTTTTGCAATAGTTTCATGATAATTGGTACCAGTTCTTCTTTCTACCTCTGGTAGAATTCAGCAGTGGATCCATCTGATGCAGAACTTTTTTTGGTTGACAGGTTTGTTATTACTGATAAAACTTCAGAGTTTGATATTGGTGTATTCTGGGTTTCAATGTCTTCCTGATTCAATCATAGAAGACTGTGTGTTTACAGGAATTTATCTATTTCCTCTAGATTTTCTAATTTGTGTGCATGGAGTCATTCCTAGGAATCTTGGAGCATCTTATATTTCTGTGGGATCAGTTGTAATGTCACTATTGTCATTTCTGATTGAAATTATTTGGATTTTTTCTGTGTTAATCTAGATAATGGCTTTCCAATCTTATTTGTCTTTGCAAAGAAACAGTCCCTTCATTTCACAATCTTTTATATGGATATTTTCAGCTCAATTTTATTTAATTCTTTTCTAATTTTAGTTATTTATTTTCTTCTGCTAGCTTTGGGGTTGATTTGTTTCTTTTTTTTCCCTAGTTCCTTTAGTTGCAAAGTTAGGTTATTAATTTGAGATCTAACTTCTTGAAGGGATTTAGGGCCATAAACTTTCCTCTTAACACTGGTTTAGCTTCACTCCAGAGATTTTGGTAAGTTGTGTTCCTATTTTCATTAATTTCAAGGATTTTTTAAATTTTTGACTTAAGTTTGATGTTAACCCAGGAATTATTAAGAAACACTTTGTCTAATTTCCATATATTTGTGTAGTTTCGAGAGATCTTGATATTCATTTGTTTGTATTGCACTACGGACTGAGAGTGTGCTTTGTGTGATTTCAATTTTTCTTAAAAAATTTATTAAGACTTGCTTTATGTCTGAGCATGTGGTCAACCTTTGAATATGTTCTGTGTGCAGGTGAGAAGAATGTATATTCTGTGGTTGCTGGACGGAGTGACTTGTAATGTCTCTTAGGTCCAACTGGTCAAGTGTCAAGTTTCTTTGTTAGTTTTCTGCCTCAATGATCTGTCTAACAATGTCAGTGGGGTGTTGAAACCGCCTAGTATTATTGTGTGATTGTCTAAGTCTTTTTGTAGGCCGAGAAGACCTTGTTTTATATATGTGAGTACTCCAATGTTTGATCTACATATATTTAGTAAAGTCTTCTTGTTGGATTGTGCCCTTTATCAATATGTTATGCCCATCATTGTCTTTCTTAATTTTTGTTGGTTTAAAGTCTGTTTTATCTGATATAAAAATAGCATCTCCTGCTCATTTTTTTTCTGTTTTCATGGCATATCTTTATCCAACACATTATTTTGAGCCTGGGTGTGCTGTTACATGTGAGATGGATCTCTTGAAGACAATAGATGGTTGAATCTTCTCTTTTATCCAGCGTGCAACTCTGTATCTTTTAAGTGGGGGAATGTGGCCCATTTACATTCAGGGTTGATATTGACATGTGAGATTTTGATTTTGTGATGGTTGTTATGTAGACTTGATTGCATAGTTGCTTTATAGAACCTGTGTGCTGTGTACTTATGTGTGTTTTGTGTTAGCAGGTGTTGTTTTGATTCCCTGTTTAGCACTAACTTAACAACCTCTAATAAGACTTGTCTAGTTGAAATGAACGCCACTATCATTTGCTTGTCTGAGAAGGATTTTGTTTCTTTTCTGTTTATGAAGTTTAGTTTGGTGAAATATGAAATACTTGGTTATAATTTCTTTCCTTTAAGGATGCTAAAAATAGGCCCTCAATATCTTGTGGCTTATAAGGTTTCTACTGAAAGGTCTACTTTTAGCTTGATGGTGTTCCTTCTATATGTGACTTGACCCTTTTTTCTAGCTGCCTTTAAGTTTTTTTTTTAATTTTGCATTGACCTTGGTGACTCTGATGACTGTGTGTTTTAGGAATGGTCATCTTTTATAGTATCTAGACATGGTTTTATGTATTTCTTGGATTGCATGTCAACATCCTCAGAGAGATTAGGGAAATTTTCATGGATGATGTCCTCCAATATATTTTTAAGTCGCTTATGCTGTCTCCTCTCAGGAATGCTGATGAACTGTAGATTTGTTTTTTCTACATAATCCCATATTTCTAAGAGGTTTTGTTCATTTTTCTTAATTCTTTTTCTCTTTATTTTTTGTCTGACTGAATTGATTTAAGGAACTTGTCTTTGAGCTCTGAAATTCTTTCCTCAGCTTAGCCTATTCTGCTGTTAATGCTTCAGATTGTAATGTGAAATTCTTGTGGTTTTTTTAGCTTTCGAAGTTTGGTTTACGTCTTTCTTAAAATGTCTATTTTATCCTTCAGCTCTTGGATCATTTTACTAGATTTCTTGGATTCCTTGGATAGGGTTTCAACTTTCTCCTGAATCTCAGTACACTTCCTTGCCATCAAGATGCTGAATTCTATGTCTGTCATTTCAGTCACTTCAGACTGGTTAAGAACCATTGCTGGGGAGCTAGTGGGTAAGGGACACTGTGGCTTTTGAAGGTAAGGGACACTCTGGCTTTTTTAATTGCCAGACTTTTGTGCTTATTTCTCATCTGAGAAGCTTGGTATTCCTTTAACTGTGGTGTAAGTTGAGTATAGTCAGTTGGCTTTCATTCTTGACACTCAGAGGGCCAGGGCTCTGTACAGGATCCTTATGTATGGGTGAATTATTGTGCTCGGTTTCACAGGTGTATATATTGGCAGAATATTTGGCGTTGTAGTTTTGACTTTTATCCAGTAGCTGAAGCTAGGGAGTGATGGCCAGTAGTTAGGCTAATAGCCACATGACTCCTTTGTACTTTTTGTCATTTGCAGGCATGCTCTGCTTTGGGAGTGGAGAGACGGCACCCTCACCAGATTTGCTCTTCGGCTTTCTCAGAGCTCCCTTCAATCACCACTGCCACGCCTGGCTTTCTTTTGTTAGATATTGTGGGCCAAAGGGCCACCTCAGGCAGACACAGTGGCCACACCCTTTCTGGACCAGCCTGGCAGAGGAAGGCACACCCTACTCCTGCCCTGACTCAGGGACTCACCCATCTTGCCCTTCTCAGTGCTCTCAGGTTGGGGGCTCCTTCCCTGCTTGAGTGCTGGCCTTAGATCTTGGCTACCTACTCCAGAGCTGCATGCCACAGCCCTGAGGCACTAGGATGTCCCAAGGCTTGGAGTTGGGTTCTGGCCGCACTGAGGGATCCAATGTTTTCCCAGGTCACCAGGAAAATACTCAGGTGGAGCAATGCACTGAGGCTGGGCTGCAGAGGCTGCGCTGTGCAGAATAGACATGCGTCAGTCCCATGGAGAAGCAGGTTTCACTCTCTTCTGGCTCAGAGGTCAGCTAAGGCCTGTGCCTCCCAGAGAAAAATGGGGAGTGCTGGGAGATGGCCATCTATTACTGCTCTCCACCGGAGCTGCCCAGTGCACAAAAACTCCTGGCCTTTAAGCCGTTTAAAGGCATATCTCTACTTGTTCCATGGGAAGATTCCCCAGACCAGCTCACATGTCTGTCGGGAATGCGTGGTCCCCTGTATCTAGGATCCCATAGGTCAATGGCAAGAGTGAGCTGTCCTTTCATTCTTTCACTTACCCTCTTTTCAGGCGCTCTCCAGGGTCTGAAAGTAGCTCTAGCATTCATGTATCTTGCGCAGGGTTTCCAGCTTCCTCCCTCTTCAGCCTAGGCCCCAGTGTAACCGTTCTATCCACCCTCATATATTTCTCTCCAAAGATCTTCCCACATTATGGTGGTTTACTTCGTAATTAGGTCTGTCTCCATGGGAGTAGTGCTTCTTGGTTGCATCTAGTTGACCATCTTGTCCCCTCCCCCATCATTGTTTTGTTAATATTACATTCAGTCTCTAGATTTAACCACACTCTCTAATGACATGTGCCTCTAGTTTTAAAGTATACAGTTTTAAAAGTTGTAAAATAATCTGTTATTAATAGGTGTAATAACTAAATTTATTTTTACTAGTAAATTTTTAAGAGTGAATTTCTGTTTTCAATATTGTAGCTTACTGTGATATAGCCTCTGTTGTACTTAACCAGTTATAGTATAAATATTTTATCACGTTCTGAAAATTTGCTTAGCTTTTAGCTAGAAGCTTCTAGAGGGTGGGCAGGGATTGGAACAATTAACTTACCTTTGTATTACCCCTAGAATGGATTTAAGAGCACGATTATAACACAAGCGGCTCATAGAATAGCTCCAGCAATTCACTAGTCCAGACTAGACAATTTCATAATTATCCAAGATAAATGAGTATTAATATTCAGCTGTCATTATTCAGCTTACCAAAGAAGAATATATGCAAGCTGTCAAAAGATTTTAAGGTGTGACAGCTTTTGCAAACTCATGCCCTTAAATTGTTAGCAAAAAAACAAAGTAAGTGAAAATGATTACTTACACATTCTGTGGTACAGTAAACTTGCTTAAAAAGCACATTTAAACAAATGTGTATCTTTTCTTATTGGGACATAATATTTTGCATACTTATGGGGTACATGTATTTGTTGCATGCATAGAATGTGTAATGATCAAGTCAGGGAATTTGGGATATCCAGCATCTGGAGTATTTATCGCTTCTCTGTGTTAGGAACATTTCAAGCCCCACCTTCCAGCCTCTGAAATATACAATACATTGTTGCTAACTATAGTCATCCCACTTTCCTATCAAACATTGGAAATTATTTCTTGTATGTAACTGTATATTTGTATCCATTAATAAACCTTTTTTAATCACCCCTCCCATCCACACTATTCCCAGCCTCTGGCATCTGTCATTCTATTCTGTGAGATAAACGTTTTTAGCTGTCACATATGAATGAGAATGTGATTTTGTATTTTTGTGCCTGGCTTATCTCATTTAACATAATGGTCCCCATTTCCATCCACGTTGCTGCAAATGAAATGATTTCATTCTTTTTTATGATTGAATAACATACCATTGTGTATATATACCACATTTTTTATCCACTTCTCCATTGACTGACACTTTGGTTAATTCCATATGTTTGCTATTGTGAATACTGCTGTGATAAACATGGTAGTGCAGGCATTCCTATATTTGATATAGTGATTTCTCTTGGATAAATATTCAGTATTAGGATTGCTGGATTATGTGGGAGTGCTGCTATTAGTTTTTTTTTTGACAAATTTCCATACTGTTTTCCATAGTGGCTCTACGGCATTATATTCTCACCAAAAGTATATGAGTTCCTATTTCTCTGCATCCTCACTAACATTTGTTATTTTTTGTCTTTTGGATAAAAGCCATTTCAACTGGGGTGTGATATCTCATCATGGTTTTGTTTTGCATTTCTTTGTTAGTTAGGAATGTTGAGCATTTTTTCATATACCTGTCAGTCATATTTATGTCTTTTTTGAGAAATGCCTAGATTATTTGCCCAATTTTTAATAGGATTGTTTTTTAGCTATTGAGTTATTAGAGTCCCTTGTATATTCTGGATATTAGTCCCTTATCAAATGAATAGTTTGCAAATATTTTCTTCCATTCAACAGGTTGTGACTTCATTCTCTTGATTGCTTCCTTTGTTGTACAGAAGTTTTTAGTTTAGTATAATTTCACTTGTCTATTTGTGTTTTGTTGTCTGTGCCTTTGAGTTCTTAAGCATAAAATCTTTGCCTAGACTAAGGTCATGAAGATTTTTCTCTAGGTTTCCTTCCAGTAGTATTATAGATTTGAATCTCACATTTAAGCCTTTGTATATGGTGAGAAATAAGGGTTCACTTTCATTCTTTTGCATACGAATATTTGATTTTCCAAGCACCATTTATTAAAGAGACTATCATTTCCCAAATGTATGTACTTAGCACCTATATTGAAAATCAGTTGACTTTAAATATGCATATTGATCTCTGGGTCCTCTTTTATGTCCCATTGTCCTATGCGCCTGTTTCTATATCAATACCATACTCTTTGGTCACTACAGCCTTGTAATATATTTTGAAGTTAGGTAGTGCGGTACCTCCAGCTTGGTTCTTTTTTCCCAGGATTGCTTTCGCTATTTGGGCTCCCCATTTGTTCCATGCAAATTTTAGGATTCATTTTTTCTAATTATGTGAAAAATGACTCTGGTATCGTGGTAGGGATTGCATTGAATTTGTTGATTGCTTTGGGCAGTATAATAATTTTAATGATCTAAATGATTTCAATATGTGTGCATGGGGTGTCTTTTCATTTTTTGTGTCCTCTTCAATTTATTTTATTATTATTTTGTAGTTTTCCTTGTAGAGCTTTTTCACCTCCTTGCTTACATTTATTCCTAGGTATTTTACTTTTTTAGCTATGGTAAATTGGATTGCCCTCTTTATTTTTTTCTTGGCTACTTTATTATTAGTGAATAGAAATTCTACTGACTTTCGTATCCTGATTTTTGTAGCTACTGATTTTTTTATCACTAATTTTGTATCTATGGATTTTTATATACTGATTTTTTTTTTTGTCTACTGATTTTGTGTCCTGAAACTTTACTGAATTTATTTTTCAGATCAAAGAAGTTTTTGATTGAGTCCATAGGCTTTCTAGATATAAGATCATATAATCTGTAAACAGGGATAGTTGGACTTCTTGTTTCCCAATTTGGTTGCTGTTTATTTATTTCTCTTGCCTGATTGTTCTTGCTAAGACTTCCAGTACTATGTTGAATTACAATATAAATATTTTATAACATTCTAAAACTTTGCTTAGCAAATGTGGCATCCTTGTATTGTTCCAGTTCTTAAAGAATTTCAGCTTTTCCCCATTCAGTATGATGTTACCTGTGGATTTGTCATATATGTCCTTTATTATGTTGAGGTGCGTTCTTTCTGTGCCTAGTTTGTTGAGAGCTTTGGCATAAAGGGATGTTGAAGTTTATCAAATTCATTTTCTGCACTTATTGAGATGATCATATGGCTTTTGTTCTTCATTCTGTTGATGTGGTGTGTTAACATCACGTTTATTCATTTTCATGTGTTGAACCATCCTTGCATCACTTAGTTAAATCCCACTTGATCATGGTGTATTATTTTCTGGATGTGTTGTTGAATATACTTTGCTAGTATTTTGTTGAGGATTTTTGTTTCTATGTTCATCAGACAAATTGGTGTGTCGTTTTTTCTTTTTTATTGTTATTTTCTTGTTTTGGTATCATAGTAATGCTGGCATTATAAAATGAGTTAAAGAGAATTCATTCTTCTTCAATTTCTTGGCATATTTTGAGAGGAATTGGTTTCTTTCTTGAAAGTTTGGTAGAATTCTGTATTGAAGTCATCCAATTGTGGTCTTTTCTTTATTGGGAGACTCTTGATTACTGCTTTGATCTCATTACTTGTTATTGGTCTGCTCAGGTTTTCCATTTTTTTCTAATTTGATCTTGCTAAGTTGTATGTGTCCAGGATTTTTTGCATTTCATCTGGGTTTTCCAGTTTGTTAGTGTACAGTTACTCCTGATAGTCTCTGATAATCTAGTATTCCTGTGGTATTCACTGTGATATCTCACTTTTTATCTCTGATTTTGTTTATTTGGTTCTTCTTTGTTTTTTAATTCAGCAAATGGTTGATCAATTTTGTTCATCTTTTCAAAAACCAACCCTTTGTTTTGTTGATCTTTTGTATTTTTTTAGTCCCTATTTCATTGAATTGTACTCTTATCTTTATTCCCTTTTCCTAATTTTGATTTTGATTTTTTTCTTGCTTTTCCCTGAGATGCATGATTGGATTATTTATTTGAAATACTTCTGCCTTTTTGATGAAAGTGCTTATTGCTATAAACTTCCCTCTTAGCACTGCATTTTCCTATATGCCATATGTTTAAGTATGAGGTATTCTCATTTTCATTTGGCTCAAGAAATTTTTGAATTTCCTCCTTAATTTCTTTATTGATCCAATAGTCCAAATTCAAGAATATGTTGTTTAATTTCTATGTATTTGTACAGTTTCCAAATTTCTTTTTGTTATGAATGTCTAGGTTTGTTCCACTGTAGTCATAGAAGACTTGATACGACTTTGACTTTTAAAAATTTCTTGAGACTTGTTTTTTGTCTTATCATATGTTGTATCCTGGAGAAAGTTTTATGTTTCGATAAGAAGAATGTGTGTTCTGTAGTTCTTGGATGAAATTTTTATAAATGTATGTTAGGTCCGCTTGGTCTAAAATGCAGTTTCAGTCCAATGTTTCTTTGCTAATTTTCTTATAGATGATTGGTTTAATGCTGAGAGTGGTGTGTTGAAGTCCCCAGTTATTATTGTATTGGAGTCTATCTCTCCATTTAAGTGTAATACAATTTGCCTCATATATCTAGGTGCTCCAGTGCTTGATGCACATATGTTTAGAATTATTACATTCTCTTGCTGAGTTGATCCCTTCATCATAATGCAATGACCTTCTTTGTCTCTTTTCAGTTTTTTTTTATTTAACATCTGTTTTATCTGATGTAAGTATAGCTACCTCTGCTTGCTTTTGGTTTCTATTTGCATGAAATATCTTTTTCCAACCCTTTATTTTCAGCCTATATGTGTCTTTACAAGTGAGAATAGTTTTGTGTAGGCAGCATATAACTGGGTCACTTTTTTTATTCAGCATGTCTACATCTTTTAAGTGGATAGATAAATCCATTTACAATTAAGGTTATTATTGCTATATCAGAGTTTATTCTTGTCATCCTATGAATTGATTTCTGGTTGTTTTGCATATAAATTGTTGTTTTCTCTCATATCATCGTTGTGGCTTGGTGGTTTTCTGTAGTGGTAAGAGTTGAGTCTTTTTTCTTTTTTGTTTGTGTGTTTGCTCTCCTAGTGGTTTTATATGTTTGTATGTATTCATGATGATTGATATCATTCTTTTGTGTGTTGCTGTTGTACTTCCTTAAGTATTTCTTGGTCTGGTCTAGTTGTGATAAATTCTATCAGCTTTTATTTGTCTGGAAAATACTTTACTTTTCCTACATTTATGAAGAATAACATCATTGAGAGTAGTATCCTTTATTGGCAAGTTTTTTTTTTTTCCCCAATACTTTAATTATATCATCCCATTCTCTCACGGCCTGTATGGTTTCTGCTGAAAATTTTGCTATTAGTGAAATGCGGGTTCATTTATAGGTGTCTAGATGCTTTTTCCTTAATGTTTTTAGAATTCTCTCTCTTTCTTTGACTTTAGAAAGTTTCGCTAAATTGTGCCATGGAAAAGACCTTTATGCATTGTGAGTGCTTAAGGCTTCCTGAGCTTCCTGTATTTGGATACCTAAATCTTTTGCTAGACTTGGAAAGGTTTCACCTATTATTTCATCACCTATGTTTTCTAACCCATTCATTTTTTCTTTACCTCCTGGGACTCCACAAATTTGAATATTTGGTCCCTTTATGGTGTTCCATATGTAATGTAGGCTTTGTTCATCTTTTTTAATTCTCTTTATTTTTGTCTGACTGGGTTATTTCAAAAGATCTGTCTTCAAGTTCTGAAATTCTTTATTCTACTTGATTTAATCAATTATTAAAACTTTCCAATATATTTTGAACTTCATTCAATGAATTATTTAGTCCCAGAATTTTTTTAATGATGTCTATCTCTGGCAAATTTCTCATTCATATCCTGAATTTTCTGATTCCTGTATATTGGTTTTCGGTATTCTTTTGTATCTCCCTGAGTTTTCAAAAATCATTATTACAAATTATTTTCCAAGATTTTGTACATTTATTTTTGATTTGGATCTATTTCTGAAGAATTATTGTGCTCCTTTGTAGGTGTCATATTTCTTTGCATTTTCACGTTCTCTATGTTGTTATGTTGATATCTGCACATGTAGTGTAACAATTGCTTCTAATTTTTTTGAATTTGTTTTCATAGGGGAAGACATTTTCCTGAAGATACATCTATGGTGTTGGTTGGGTAGGCCACTTTGGTTTTGATTCTGGGTGCATGCAGTAGAATACTCGCTGTATGATTTCTTTTTCTGTAAATAGCATTATTGGTATCTATGATATCCTTGATGTTTTAGTGTGCAGTTATTACTGGAGGCTGTAGTGAAGTTCTGCCTGAGACTGGACCCCAGTGGTGGCATTGGTAGTCTGAGTCTGCCTATCCTTGGGCCCTAAGGCAGAGTATTATGGCACCTGTGTTAGTGGATCTATGGGAGCTGATTCTTGGGCCTCTACATTGTTTGCTTGGATTTCAGTTGTGGCTGTGGTGGCCAGATGGGTGGGAAAGTTCTCAGGCTATACAGCAGATGTGGCATGGGCAATTGCAGTAGCATTGGTGGTATATCTCTCTGGGTTTTGAGCAGTAAATGCTAGTGTTGTTGGCATCCCCAATGGGTTGGGAAGGCCAGTCTCCAGGTCCTCAGGTAGTGTGTGCCTGTAAGTGTCAGCTGTGGCAGTATCAGCAGGGTGGGTGTGCTCAACCTCAGTTCCCTGGGAGGAGTGCTCAAGGAGACAGGCTGGGTGATCCCTAGACCCCTGGACTGCATACTCTGGCATGAGGGGGTGAAGCTGGACTAAATGGGCATGTTCTAGGGCCTCACAGTGGTGCATACTGACATTGGTTGTGGTAGGTAGGGACAGAGTAATCCTTAGGCCACAAGTAGAATGCTAAAGAGAGGCAGCAGCTGCACTGAAGCCTTGTCACTGGGAAGGGTGGGGTTGCTTTCAGTGGCAGCTGCCATATGCAGGTGTATGGGGAGCATGCTCTTTGCTCACACTTTGTCTCCCACAATGTCAGTCAACACTTCACTCAAAATTCATCTTCAACATGCAGCAACTGAAGCTACACTTAAGGAATTCTGCCACTGCATGGTGGCTTCTCTCCTGGAGGCAGTGGAGTCACTGCCTGTTGCCCATGTTTTGGCCCTGCTGATAGCCGTCAGCCAGTGTGGTGTTTGTGGGTAGGGGATGTCAGTGAAGCTCCAGGGATGTGGAGATGAAGGTACTGTTGAGACCAATGGCCATATCTAGTCTTGGGATCTGGGATCTCAAAATGGCACCTTGCAATAGTTGCCTAGAACTTGGAGCAGCAAGGAGGTCGGATACAGCACAAGTTCCCTCTTTGGGCAGTGTCATCATGTGGTCTTCAGGCAGCTCCCTGTTAGTTGCAGGGTCTGCATGGGTCAAGAGGCTCTTCCATGTTTAAGATTGCAGGAGTCCACGGTAGAAAGGTGGACTGCTGGGGATCCCTCACTTACCATTTACCCACATTTGGGAGTCTCACCAGTCTCCAGGCAGAACCCAGCTGAGGAGGCTGCCTTTCTTCCCTCTCTTTCTGTGCTTTAGGTATTTCCTGTCACTTTTCTGTTGAACCACAGTGTTCTCTTTTGGATAATCTATTCAAAGTGTGATTACCTACTGGCTATTTAGCTTCTTATTTGTGGTGAAGGTGAGTATGAGATGTCTCTATAAGCCATCTTGAAGTACCTCCAGTCTATTTTGCTATCTTTAATATGTTTAACAATAAGGCATTCAAGTGAAGAATTGTCCTATAACAAGACTTGAATCTAAAATGTGGATAAATGTTATTGATTGAAGCAGACAAATGTAGAACCTGAAAGATGGCTGACTAGAAGCAGCAGCAATCAGAGGCTGTCATTGAAAATAACCATAACAGCGTGAGAATCCTGCACCGGCAACCAAGGTATCCAGGTTCTCTCATCCTGGGACTGACTAGGTAGCTGGTGTGACCCACAGAGAGAAAGGAAGAGCAGTGTGGTGCGGTGGCCCACCATATATATATAGTATGTGTGTATGTATATATATATACACACACACACATATATATATATAGGCCAATGACACTATGAAGAAACTGCATCAACTAGTGTGCAAAATAACCAGATAGCATCATGATGACAGATCAAATTTACACACAACAATATTAACCTTAAATGTAAATGGGCCAAATGCCCCAATTAAAAGACATGGAGTGGCAAATTGGATAAAGAGTCAAGACCCATCAATGTGCTGTGTTCAGGAGACCCATGTCAAGTGCAAAGACAAACATAGGCTCAAAATAAAGGGATGGAGGAAAATTTACCAAGCAAATGGAAAACAAAAAAGCAGGGATTCCAATCCTAGTCTCTGACAAAACAGACTTTAAACCAACAAAGATCAAAGAAGGCAAAGAAAGGCATTACATAATGGTAAAGGCATCAATTCAAGAAGAAGAACTAACCTAAATATATATGCACCCAATACAGGAGCACCCAGATTCACAAAACAAGTTCTTAGAGACCTACAAAGAGACTTAGACTCTCACACAATAATAGTGGGAGACTTTATCACCCTACTGTCAATATTAGACAGATTGAGAGACAAAATTAGCAGGGATATTTAGGACGTGAACTCAGTTCTGGATCAAGTGGACCTAATGGACGTCTACAGAATTCTCCACCACAAATCAACAGAATATGCATTCTTCTCAGTGCCACATGGCACTTATTCTAAAATCGATCACGTAATTGGAAGTAAAACACTCCTCAAAAGATGCAAAATAACTGAAATCATAAAAAACAGTCCCTCAGACCACAGTACAACAAAACTAGAACTCAGGATTAAGGAACTCACTCAAAACCACACAATAACATGAAAATTGAACAACCTGCTCCTGAATGACTCCTGGGTAAATAACAAAATTAAGGCAGGCATCAAGAAATTCTTTGAAATGAATAAGAACAAAGAAACAACATACCAGAATATCTTGAACACAGCTAAAGCAGTTTTAAGAGGAAAATTTATAGCACTAAATGCCCACATCAGAAAGCTGGAAACATCTCAAATCAACACCCTAAGATCACAATTAAAAGATCTATGGAAGCAAGAGCAAAGAAATCCAAAAGCTAGCAGAAGACAAGAAATAACTAAGATCAGAACACAACTGAAGGAGATAGAGACACAAACCCCCCCCCAAAAAAACAATAAATCCAGGAGCTGTTTTTTGAAAAAATTAACGAAATAGTCCACTAGCTAGACTAATAAAGAAGAAAAGAGAGAAGTATCAAATAGACAACAATAAAACATGATAAAGGGGATATCACCACTGACCCCACAGAAATACAAACTACCATCAGATAATATTATAAATACCTCTACACAAATAAACTTTAAAATCTAGAAGAAATGGATAAATTTCTGAACACATACACCCTCCAAGACTAAACCAGGAAGAAATCTATTCCCTGAATAGACCAATAACAAGTTCTGAAAATAAGGCAGTAATTAATAGCCTACTAACTAAAAAAAAGCCCAAGAGCAGACATATTCATAGCCAAATTCTACCAGAGGTACAACAAGGAGCTGATACCATTCTTTCTGAAACTATTCCAAAGAATTGAAAAGGAGAGACTACTCCCTAACTCATTTTATGAGGCCAGCATCATAGTGATAGTAAAATCTGGCAGGAACACACACACAAAAAAACTTCAGGCCATTATCCCTGATAATCACCGATGTGAAAATCCTCAATAAAATACTGGCAAACTGAATCCAGCAGCACATCAAAAAGCTTATCCACCATGATCAAGTCAGCTTCATCCCTGGGATGCAAGGCTGGTTCAACATACACAAATCAATACATGTTATCCATTACATAAATAGAATCAATGACAAAAACCACATTAATATATCAATACATGCAGAAAAGGCCTTTGATAAAATTCAACATCTCTTCATGTTAAAAACTCTTAATAAACTAGGTATTGATGGAATATATCTCAAAATATTAGGAGCTATTTTATGACAAACCCACAGCCAATATCATATTGAATGGGTAAAAGCTGGAACCTTTGAAAACCGGTACAGGACAAGGATGCTCTCTCTCACCACTCCTATTCAACATAGTATTGGAAGGTGTGGCAAGGGCAATCAAGCAAGAGAAAAAAATAAAGGGCATTCAAATAGAAAGGAAGTCAAATTGTCTCTGTTTGCAGACAATATGATTCTATATTTAGAAAACTCCATAGTCTCAGCCTAAAAACTTTTTAAGCTGATAAGCAACATCAGCGAAATCTCAGGATACAAAATCAATGTGCAAAACTCACAAGCATTCATATACAATAACAAAAGTCAAGCAGAGAGGCAAATCGTAACAAACTCCCATTCACAATTGCTAAAAAAAGAATAAAATACCTAGGAATACGTCTAACAAGGGATGTGAAGGACCTCTTTAAGGAGAACTACAGACCACAGCTCAAAGAAATAAGAGAGGACACAAACCAATTGGAAAACATTCTATCCTCATGGATAGGAATAATCAATATTGTGAAAATGACCATTCTACCCAAAGTAATTTATAGATACAATGCTATTCCCATCAACCTACCATTGACATTCTTCACAGAAATAGAAAAACTACTTTAAATTCCATATGGACCCAAAAAAGAGCTCGTACAGCCAAGAAAATCCTAAGCAAAAAGAACAAAGCTGGAGTCATCATGCTACCTGACTTCAAACTATACTACAAGGCTACAGTAGCCAAAACAGCACAGTACTAGTACCAAAAGAGACATATAGATCAATGGAACAGAACAGAGACCTCAAAAATAACACCACACATGTACATCCATCTGATCTTCGACAAACCTGACAAAAACAAGCAATGGGGAAAGGATTCCCTGTTTAATAAATGGTGCTGGGATAACTGGCCAGCCATATGCAGAAAACTGAAACTGGATCCCTTCCTTACACCTTATACAAAAATTAACTCAAGATATATTAAAGACTTTAATGTAAAACCCAAAACCATAAAAACTCTAGATGAAAACCTAGTCAATGCCATTCAAGATATAGGCATGGGAAATGCCTTCATGATAAAAACACCAAAAGCAATTGCAACAAAAGCCAAAATTGACAAATGAGATCTAATTAAACTAAAGAGTTTCTGCACAGCAAAATAAGTTATCATCAGAGTGAACAGGCAACCTACAGAATGGGAGAACTTTTTTCCAATATATCCATCGGACAAAGGTCTAAATATCCAGAATAATCTACAAGGAACTTAATCAAATTTACAAGAAAATTAAAAAATAACCCCATCAAAAAGTGGGCAAAGGATATGAACAAACACTTCTCAAAAGAAGACATTTATGTGGCCAAGAAACATGAAAAAAAGCTCAGCATCACTGATCATTAGAGAAATGCAAATCAAAACCACAATGAGATACCATCTCACACAAGCCTAATAGCAATTATACAAAAGTCAAGAAACAACAGATGCAAGCAAGGCTGTGAAGAAATAGGAAAGATTTTACACTGTTGGTGGGTTTGCTAATTAGTTCAACCATCGTGGGAGACAGTGTGGCGATTCCTCAAGGATCTAGAATGAGAAATATCATTAGGCCCAGCAATCCCATTACTGGGTATATACCCAAAGCAATATAAATTATTCTGGTATAAAGACACATGCACACGTATGTTTATTGCAGCACTATTTACAAGAGCAAAGACATGGAACCAACCCAAATGCCCATCAATGATAGGTTGGAAAAATAAAATGTGGTACATATACACCATGAAATACATGCAGGCATAAATCATGTCCCTTGCAGAAACATGGATGAAGCTGGAAGCCATCACCCTGAGCAACTAACACAGGAACAGAAAACCAAACATTGCATGTTGTCACTCCTAAGTGAGAGTTGAACAATGGGAACACATGGACACAGGGATGGGAACAACACACACTGGGGCCAGTCGGAGGGTGAGGGTTGAGGAGACAGAGAGCATTAGGACAAATAGCTAATGCATGTGGGGCTTAAAACCGAGATGATGGGTTGATAGGTGCAACAAACCGCCATGACACATGTATACCTATGTAACAAACCTGCATGTTCTGCACTGGTATTCTGGAACTTAAAGTAAAATAAAAAAGAATATGTAGAACCTGAGAAATACTCTACTGCCAATTTTGTTTTGAAAAGTTGAGTTTTTGTCCAATCCATTGTAGCTCTTATGCATATTTTTACAGCATTTGGCTGTAACATTCTATGCTTTGTCAAACTTACAGTGTTATGTATTAAATATTATAGTACCATATAGAATAGTTTGACTATCATAACAAATATCTTACGTTTTACCTACTGAACCAACCCTCCTCTATATCCCTGGCAACCACTGATCTATTTACCGTTTCTATAGTTTGCCCTTTTCAGAATTTCATATAAATAGAATCATACAGTGTATAGTATTCCATTGTACTGATGTACCACTATTTGCTTGCCCATTTGCCTATTGAAAGACATCGTGGTTGTTTCCATCTCCTGTTTTTTTTATAATTATGTGTAAAGCTGCTATAATCATTTGTTTGTAGGATTTGTGAGAATGTAAATTTTCAAATCAATTGGGTAACTACCTAAGAATGTAATTGCTGAATCATATGGTAAGACTGTTTAACTTTGTAAGAAACTGCCAACAGTCTTCCAAAGTGGCTGTACTATTTTATATTCCCACGTGCAATAAATGTGAATTACTATTGTTCCTCATCAATAATTGGAATTTTTAGTGTTTTGGATTTAGCCATTACAGTAGGTTGATAGCCTTTTAATCTAAAACGTGTAAAATAAAAATCACATGGAATTTTCATACTAAGAACACTATGGAAGATTACCCTTGCACGAAACTTTCAGGTTATATTTTCAGAATAATGTTAATAGCTTTAATTATATTTTTTAGTTTGAAAATGTATTTACTCTAAAATTTATGCTTGCTTAGGAAATATATTTTAAATACTGAAGCTATTTACCCCCTTACAACTTTGGGGGAAAAAAAGTCACTGTTAACTAACTCATTTATATCAATCATCTTAGAATATAGTATATACTATTGACATATAGAAAATGCTAGATTCTGGTCAAACTTTTCAGTAACCTTGACTTTGAAGCATTAAACATTCTAAATCTAAATAAGAAAATTCTGAAACACTGATAAATAAAAATAAAGGTTAAATGAAATGTCTTTTAGATTTTTTTCTATGTAATAGTAAACAAAGCTAAATTTTATTTTGATGGAATTAAGACTCCTAAACTTTAAAATTTAATATACTACAAAATTATCATTTGGGAGCTATCTTATCACAAAAAGTTAAAAATCTATGTCTCTACTTCATAGTTTAACAAATGACAACAAGGAATCAGTGCCCAAATGAGATTTTAAGTTCTAAGTACACTGAAATCTGTGGACTGATTTAGTGCTGATCTTAGATTTTACTAATTTGAATATATTGTAATGGACTGGGCACCCAGCACCTTAATACAGAATTTTCAGTTGGCCAATAGCTCAAAATTAAACTACAAATTATAGATTTGTTAACCAGCCTAAGTGACATTGTGCTACAATATTCAGGCAAATAGTGAACCTTCTTCAAAAATTATGTACAATGTCCTATAAACTAAGCTGTTTCAACTTATTTTAGACTTTCTCAAAATTAAGAGACAAACGCATTTCAAAATGTTTATCACAAAAGCATAGTATATTAACCTTTCATAGAAGTGTTATGTGATATCCACTGAAAAGAAGATAAACATGTTCTACCAGGTACACACTTACTAAGTCAGAACAAAAAGCATGTTAATTCTTTTTGCGATATGGGCGATTGATGAGAAGGCGGGTCAGGCATCTGGTGAGTAGTGCATGGCTAGGAATAGCCCTGTAATAATTTGAAGGGCTAAGCAGGTGCCGACAGGGAAAGACAGGGAGGAAAAAACAATGTGCTGCTTTAAAGCATCTTTAAATGAATCAGACTGGTAATCTCATTATTAAATTGACTTTATAATTTTTAATTTTGATTAACATTTTAAAAAGAGAGCTGATCTAAACTGACAAGGAACTGTTCTAGCCATCTGATTCCTGACAAGAATTGATTGATTTAGATTTTTAGAGTGTAAAAAGCATCTACAATATACAAATATATTTTAAAGCAAACTATTACATTGTGAAACATTTAGACCTTCTGTGTCTTCTATTGCATGCATTCCCCACTGTTTTCTTAATATTATTAATATAGCTGTGTCACATCTGTAGGATATTACAGCAATGGCATGATTCGACAAACTTAGAAATAACCAGCAGGTTTTGAAAAATCACTAAATGAATTTTTGTCCAATAATTGAATTAATTCATAACATCTGATCTAAGGTTAAGAATACTGTAGCATAATACAGTACCAATTCAATTCAATATGTTTAAAGGTAAAGGTTCAGAAGTGTATTAAGTGTTTTAGGTGATAGAATAGAAGATTCTTGAGGACACAGGACATACAAACAGAAAATGAAGGTTTATAGAAGTGAGATATAAATAGAGTTAATTGATTTCTACGAGTCAAAAGGAGAAAGCAGGGGGTGTCATACAAATATTTATACTTTTAACTACATTTATACTTCCAGTTTCTTAAGTACTTGGATATGGTTGAGAAATTTGAAAGGTGAGGTGTATGAAGTAGACAGAATAAGGGGAATTAAATATTACTTCTTGGAAAACAATATCATGAGATTTTCCCCTTATGCAAAGTGCATACCATCACTTATTTTCTCAATATAGATGGGTAATTAAATAGAGAATGAAGCACACAGTTTTTCTACTGGGTTTTCTTTTGGAAAAAGGAAATCTAGATTTGCCTATACATTGTATGAAAATTTTAATATAAGAATATTCATTGAGTTGAAATTTTACCAGTACTGATTTTCCATTAATATGAACGGAAAAAAGCAAATTCAGTTGATAATTTTTGTGTATAGTGAATATTATTTTTAAAACCCTGCAAAACATTAAGAATTTCAAGGTTTTAATTCAAACATCAATCTATCTAATTACCATTGTCACTATCATCATCTATCTATCCTTCATAGAGAAGTTCCAGTCTCATGAAATTTAGTCACACAACTTGTAAAATATTCATAACTAAGTCCAACTTATTTTCTCTAAAGTCCTAACTAAATATTCTACATGAGATATATTGGAACCTCCTACAAACCAGACCAATACTTTCACTTGTTACAGTTTTAATATTTTAAATGTGTGTATATACTAGTTAATAACTATTTTAAAAGTCCACCCAAACAGAAGGGAGCAGACAAGAAGAAATGCTTCTCAAAAGTAGCATTAAGTGAATTAAAACTATCTGTGAACAATATTTTTATTCTGTAATGTTTAAAGAGTATTTCGTGCTTAGTTGTTGCAAATGATACTGTCATATCACTTCTTGAGATTCAGTTAGATGACTGTAGCATTGACTACTGGATTTTCTGCTTTTTTTTTTTTTTTTTTGCTTTTCTATTTGGAACTGTGGATCAAGAGCCTCACAAGCTATATATATATATATATATGTGTGTGTGTGTGTGTGTGTGTAAAGTATTACGGAATGCTACTAATCTGTTATAACAAACTGTTTTTCTCTTCTTGGAGCAAACATGATTTGAATCATCAACTATAAATCCTTTTAGTAAACTAGACGCTAATCCAAAACCATGATTAGCAAACCGAAAAGATCTATGCAACAGCAATATATAACATTAATGAGCACTTTCAAATTTATATCATTTAATCACCAAAATAAGCCTGTCTGGTATTTATTATTATTTAGATTATTATAGAATTGGAAACTGAGATTCAGAGCGGTTAAATAATTTGCTTAATGTTATACAAATAGTTAGCAGTGGGGCATGAATTTAAATTTACGAAGCCGCCAGTATTTACCAAACACAATATGTGTCCGTGAATCTGTAAATCCCATGCTCAACAGACCCTTTTAAACGTACTGTCCAAATAACCCTTGCCTAAGTGACTAACTTCAGACTCTATCTGTTCTGCACCATAAGGCCAGAATATGACACATGATTTATAACAACAAATATAACTATATCAATAAATGTTTACTAAGCAATAGATAGTATGCCAACATAGACAAGGTCCATATTTTCATGGAATTTTAAATCCTGTGAAAATGAAAAACCATGTAAACTAATAAATAAGGTAATTTTGGCTAATGTGACACGCTATTAAGAAAACTAGGTGAAGTAATAGGATAAAGTGTGCCTTGGGCTAGAGAAGTGGCTGTTTAAATAAGACAGCAAGGAAAAACCTCCCTCAGAAGAGGTGAAATTTGAGCTAAAACCTGGATAATCTCACATACACACACACACACACACACACACACACACATACACACACACACACACATACACACACACACACACTCTATGTATCTATCTATATCTATCATCATCATCATCTAAATATACTATTATATATCCAGACACAGGTATTTTTAAAAGTTAACATGGCTTCAATTTAAATGTTCAAGATATGAGATTATTATGTCAAAATTAATAACAAAGTAGACTAAAGACCACTAAGGAATTCTGTTGCACTATTATGCTTTTATGAGAATTCTGCAATTTTATTTTAGTCTTTGGATTTATTATCTTGACTCAGAAGGCTTTCTTACTATATGTCAGGTTAAATTACTAATTTAAACATTTGTTTCATATGAAATTAAGTAAGAACATAAACTCATACTAAAAATTAAATGTCATTAATTATTAATTTCCCAAAAGTATTTATATCATTGTTTTTATTTAATTTTTGAGCGGGTGAAAAAAAAACACTTTATTATGAAGCTGAAAGACAGCCAAACAGAACTTATCACTTGATTGAATTTATTTTTAAAAACTAAATATTTCTAAATTGTTGGCTAGAGAATTAACCACATTATTCTTTTTGTAAACTTTTATTTTAGGTCAAGAGTACCTGTGTAGGTTTGTTATATAGAGAAATTGCATGTCACAGGGACTTTGGTGTACAGATTATTTCGCCACAGAGATAATAAGCATAGTACCTGATAGGTAACTTGTCAATCCTCATCTTCCTTCTACTCTCCACGCTCAAGTAGGCCTTGGTATGTGTTGTTCCCTTTCATGTGTCCATGTGTATTCAGTATTAAGCTCCAATTTATAACTGAGAACATGCAGTATTTGTTTTTCTGTTGTGTGTGAGTGTGCTTAGAATAATGGCCTCTAACTCCATTCATGTTGGGGCAAAGGACATTATCTTGTTCTTTTTTATAGCTATACAATACTACATGATGTAAATGTTCCACATTTTCTTTATCTAGTCTACTGTTGATGGGCATTTAGGATGATTCCTTATCTTTGCTATTGTGAAGAGTGCTGCAATGAACATACACATGCATATTACTTTATGGTACAATGATTTATATTCATTTGTGTTCATACTCAATAATGAGGTTTCTGAGTAGAATGGTAGTTCTCTTTTAAGTTCTTTGAGAAATCATCTAATTGCTTTCCACAATGGCTGAGCTAATTTACATTCCCACCAATGTATAATGCAAACTCGCCAGCATCTGTTATATTTTGACTTTTTAATAGTAGCCATTCTGACTGGTGGGAGAATGTATCTCACTGTGGTTTTCATTTGCATTTCTCTAATGATTAGAGATACTGAGCATTTTTTTCCTATGATTGTTGGCCGCGTGTCTGTATTCTTTTGAAAAGTGTCTGTTTCATGTCCTTTGCCCACTTTTTAATGGGATTGTTTTGTGTTTTGCTTCTTAATTTAAAGCCCTTAGAGAATCTGGACATTAGATGTTTGTCAGATGCATAGTTTGAAAATATCTTCCCCGATTGTGTAGACTCCCTGTTTACACTGTTGATAGTTACTTTTGCAGTGCAGAAGCTCTTTAGTTTAATTAGGTCCCATTTATCAATTTTTTGTTTTTGTTACTATTGCTTTGGCCTTTTTGTCATGAAATCATTACCTGGCTCTACATCCAGAATGACACTTCATAGGATATCTTCCAGGGTTTTTATAGTTTTAGGTTTTAAATTTCAGTCTTTAATGTATCTTTAGTTGATTTTTTGTGTGGTGTAAGGAAGGAGTCCAGTTTCAGTGTTCCACATATGGCTAACCAGGTTTCCCAGTAGCATTTATTAAATAGAGAGTCCTCTCTCCATTGCTTGTTTTTGTTGACTATTGACTTTGTCGAAGATCAGATGGCTGTAGGTATGCAGCTTTATTTCTGGGATTTTTATTCTGTTCTATTTGTTTATATGTCTATTTTTGTACCAATAGCATGCTGTTTTTGGTAACTATAGCCTGGTAGTATATTTTGAAGTTGCATAAAGTGATGCCTCCAGCTTTGTTTTTTTTTTTTTTTTTTTTTTTGCTTACAATTCCTTTGGTTATTCAGCCTCTATTTTGGTTCCATATAATTTTTAAATAGTTTTTCTAATTCTGTGATGAATGCCATTGGTAGTTTGATCAGAATAGCATTCAGTCTGTGAATTTATTTAAACATCATACCCCTTTTAATGATATTGGGTCTCCCTATCCATGAGAGTGGAAGATTTTTCTATTTGTTTGTGTCATCTCTGGTATCTTTTAGCAGTGTTTTGTACTTCTCTGTGTAGCGATCTTCCACCTCCTTGGTTAGCTGTATTCCTAGGTATTTTAATCATTTTCTGGATATTGTGAATGGAGTTGCATTCTTGATTTGGCTCTCTGCTTGTATGTTATAGGTATATAGGAATGCTACTGATTTTTGTACATCAATTTTGTATCCTGAAACTTTACTGAAGTCATTTACCAGAGCTAGAAGCCTTCTGACAGAGTCTATGGGGTTTTCTATGTATATCCAGAATCTACAATGAACTCAAACAAATTTACAAGAAAGAAACAAACAACCCCATCAAAAAGTGAGCGAAGGATATGAACAGACACTTCTCAAAAGAAGACATTTATGCAGCCAAAAAACACATGAAAAAATGCTCACCATCACTGGCCATCAGAGAAATGCAAATCAAAACCACAGTGAGATACCATCTCACACCAGTTAGAATGGCGATCATTAAAAAGTCAGTAAACAACAGGTGTTGGAGAGGATGTGGAGAAATAGGGACACTTTTACACTGCTGGTGGGACTGTAAACTAGTTCAACCATTGTGGAAGTCAGTGTGGCGATTCCTCAGGGATCGAGAACTAGAAATACCATTTGACCCAGCCATCCCATTACTGGGTATATACCCAAAGGATTATAAATCATGCTGCTATAAAGACACATGCACATGTATGTTAATTGCGGCACTATTCACAATAGCAAAGACTTGGAACCAACCCAAATGTCTGACAATGATAGACTGGATTAAGAAAATGTGGCACATATACACCATGGAATACTATGCAGCCATAAAAAATGATGAGTTCATGTCCTTTGTAGGGACATGGATGAAACTGGAAACCATCATTCTCAGCAAACTATCGCAAGGACAAAAAACCAAACACCGCATGTTCTCACTCATAGGTGGGAATTGAACAATGAGAACACATGGACACAGGAAGGGGAACATCACATACCAGGCACTGTTGTGGGGTGGGGGGAGGGGGAGGGATAGCATTAGGAGATATACCTAATGCTAAATGACGAGTTAATGGGTGCAGCACACCAACATGGCACATGTATACATAGGTAACAAACCTGCACGTTGTGCACATGTACCCTAAAACTTAAAATATAATAATAATAAAATTTAAAAAAAAAGAAAAAAAATTAGCCAGGTGTGATGGCGGGTGCCTGTAGTCTCAGCTACTCAGGAGGCTGAGGCAGGAGAATCGCTTGAACCTGGGAGGCAGAGGTTGCGGTGAGCCAAGATTGCACCATTTCACTCCAGCCTGGGTGACAGAGCAAGACTCTGTCTCAAAAAAGATTAAAAAAAAAAAAAAAAAAAAGAATCATATCATCTGCAAAGAGAAACAGTTTCACTTCTTCTTTTCCTATTTGGGTGCCCTTTATTTCTTTCTTTTGCCTGATTTCTCTGGCTAAGATTTCCAGGACTATGGTGAATAAGAGAGATGAGAGAGATCATTTTTGTCTTGTTCCACTGTTCAAGGGGAATGTCCAGCTTTTCCCTATTCAGTGTGATGTTGCTGTGTGTTGGTTACAGATGGCTCCTATTATTTTGAGTATGTTCTTTGATTCCTAGTTTGTTGAGGATTTTTAACATGAAAGAATGAGGAATTTTGTTGAAATCCTTTTCTTCATCTATTGAAATGGTTATATGGATTTGTGTGTATGTGTGTGTGTGTGCGCACGTTTATGTAATAAATCACATTTATTGATTCCAGTATGTTGAACAAATCTTGAATCCCAGGAAGAAAACCTACTTGATGGGGGAAGATTAGCTTTTGATGTGCTTCTGGATTCAGTTGGCTAAGTTATTGTGTTGAAGATATTTGCATGTATGTTCATCAAGGATATTGGCTTGATGTTTTATTTTTCTGTTGTGTTTCGGCCACATTTTGTTGTGAGGATAAAACTAGCTACATAGAATTAGTTAGAGAAAAGTCCCACCTCCTCAATTTTTTTGGAGTAGTTTCAGGAGAAATGATACCAGCTCTTCCATATATGTCTGGTAGAATTTAGCTGTGAATCAGTCTGGTCCTGGGCATTTTCTTATAGGTAGGCTTTCTATTACTGATTCAATTTTGGAATTCATTATTGGTTTGTTTAGGGTTTCATTTTCTTTCTGATTAAATCTTGGAGGGTTGTATGTTTCTAGAAATTTATCCATTTTTTCTAGGTTTTCTAATTTGTATGCATAGAGGTGTTCATAATAGTCTCTGAGGGTTTTTGTATTTCTGTGAAGTCAGTGGTAATGTCTCCTTTGTCATTTCTCTTTGTGTTTATTTGGATCTTCTTTTTATTCATAAGTCTGGCTAGTGGTCTGTTTATCTTATGTATTCTTTCAAAACTCCATTGACTAGATTTGTTAATATTTTCTATAGTTTTTCACATCTCAGTTGCATTCAGCTTAGCTCTGACTTTGGTTATTTCTTGACTTCTGCTGGTTTGGGGATTTATTTGCTCTTGTTTCTCTAGCTCTTCTGGGTGTGATGTTAGGTCATTAATTTGAGATCTTTCTAACTTCTTCATGTGGGCTTTTTGTGCTATAAACATTCTTCTTTACACTGCTTTAGCTGTGACCCAGGAATTCTGGTATGATGTATCTTTGTTCTCATTAGTTTCAAAGAATTTCTTGATTTCTGACTTAATTTTATTCTTTGCCAAAAATTTATTATGGAGCAGGTTGCTTAATTTCTGTATAATTGTATGGTTTTGAGCATTATTCTTTGTATTGATTTCTAATTTTATTGCACTGTGATCCTAGAGTGTGATCCTAGAGTGTGATTTTGATAATTTTGAATTTGCTGGGAATTGTTTTATGGTTAACTGTGTGGTCAGTTTTAAAGTATATGCCATGTGCAGATGAGGAGAATGTATTTTCTGTTGTTTTTGGGTGGAAAGCTCTCTAGATTTCTATTAATCAACGTGATTAAGTGTTGAGTTCAGGTCCCAAATATCTTCATTAGTTTTTGGCCTCAACAATTTGTATAATACTGTCAGTGGTGTGTTGACATCCCACACTATTATTGTGTGGTTATCTAAATCTCTTCCTAGGTCTTTAATAATTTGTTTTACAAATCTGCATCCTCCTGTGTTGGGTACATTCACATTTAGGATAGGTGGATCTTTTTATTACATTGACCCTTTACCATTATTTAATGTTCTCCTTTGTATTTTTTTATCATTTTTGGTATAAATTTTGTTTTGTCTGAAATTATACTATCAGCCCCCACTTTTTTCTGTTTTCCATTTGCTTGGTAGATTTTTATCCATCCCTTTTCTTTGAGCCTATGGGTGTCATTGAACATGAGATGAATTTTATCAAAACAGCATACAGTTGAGTCTTGCATTTTTGTCCAACTTACCACTCTGTGCCTTTTAATTGGGACATTTAGCCCATTTACATTGAAGATATAGATATGTGCAGATTAGATCCTGTTGTCATGCTGCTAGCAGGCTATCACACAGACTTGATTGTGTAGTTGCTTTACAGTGTCAATGGTCTATGTACTTAAGTGTTTTTTTGTGATGGCCAGTAATGGTCTTTCTGTTGATGTTTAGCTCTCCCTTAAGGACTTCTTATAAGGCAGGTCTGGTATTAAAAAAAAATTCTGTATCATTTGCTTGTCTGAAAATCATCTCATTTCCTCTTCAATTTTGAATCCTAGTTTGGCTGGATATGAAATTCTTGGTTGGAATTTTTTTTAATTTTTCTAATAGTGCAATGCTTAATATAGGCTCCCAATCTCTTCTGACTTGGAGAATTTTTCCTGAAAGTATGCTGTTAGTCTGGTTGAGTTCCCTTTGTAGGTAAACTGACCCTTCTGTCTAGCTGCCTTTAAAATATTTTCTTTCATTACAATCTTGGAGAATCTGATGACTGCGTGTCTTTGGGATGGTCATCTTGTATAGTATCTCCAAGGGGCTTCCTGTATTATCTGAATTTGAATGTTGGCCTCTCCAAAGAGGTTGGGGAATTTTCCATGGATGGGATCCTCAAATATGTTTTGCATGTTCCTTGCTTTCTCTCCCTTTTTTGCAAGGATGTTAAAGAGTAATATGTCTCTTTACATAATACTATATTTCTCAGAGGTTTTGTACATTCTGTATATTTTATTTGCGATTATTCGGGGAACCTGTAATCAAGCTCTGAGATTCTTTCCTCAGCTTGGTCTATTCTGCCGTTAATACTTGCAATTGTATTATGAAATTCTTGAAGTGAGTTTTTCAGCTCTATCAGGTCAGTTTGGTTCTTTCTTAAAATGGTCATTTTGTCTTTCTGCTCCAGTGTCATTTTATAGTATCCCTTAAATTCCTCAGATTGGGTTTCAATTTTCTCCTGAATCTTGATGATCTTCATTTCTATCCATATTCTGAATTTGATGCCTGTCACTTCAGCCAGTTAAGCCTAGTTAAGAACCATTGCTGGAGAACTATTGAGGCATTTTAGAACTAAGACACTCTGGCTTTTTGAGTTGCCAGATTTCTTGTGTTGGTTCTTTCTCATCTGTGTGTGCTGATGTTTTTTGAGTCTTTGACGTTACTGTCCTTTGAATGGGATTTTTTGCTTTTATCTTCTTTAATTCCCTTGAGTGTTTGTTTATGGTATAAGGTGGGCTCAGTGGACTGGCTTTCACTTTGGAAGATATTATGGGGCCAAGGCTCAGCTCAGCACTCCTGTGCTGTGTGCTCTAACTCTAGGTCCCTAGTACCCAGCCCCTGGCTGTTCTCTGGCCCCTCAAGATCAGGAATCTGCCGTGTAGGAGCCAATGTGTTCCTGGTCTGCTGGCACTCACACTCCAATGCGTGGGTGATGGGCAAAGCACTTTGTAAGGGTAATGGCAGCTGAATCCATGCTCTCTTGTTAACTATTTTTTTTAGGAGAGGAAAATGAGACTTTTGAAGGTTTAATTTAATGATTGTTTCATATGACATCGTATTATTCCTCTTTTTCTGAAGAGACTTCATTGCATTTTTGTGGTTTTAAATAATATTCCATATTTAAAATAATTCAGTGCTCTTAGCCCTTTACTGAGATTCCTAGAAATCTTGAAATAACATAAATTTGTTATTAGCAGAACTGAAAACAATGGAATTCATTTAGGGGAGTAGATCACTAAGTATTATTTAAATTTTCTTAGCTTCACCTTTTTGCTTTTATTTGCCTGATTTAAATGATGAAAAATATGATAAAGTAATATAATAAAAGCTTAGGGTATAGATAGAACTGACAGAAAATTAGAGAGGATGTAACTGAAACTGTAAAGAAATTAAGTTTCATAGACTTGTAGTCCTTTTGGAAAAAAGATCACTTAAAAAGTTTGGTAACATGAAATTTTATAATAAGACTCAATTACTGCCAGCTAGTGAAGTCCAATCAGTGTACCCCAACTCGTAGAACCAAGATAGTGATTTACAAACTTGATTTGTCATAATCACCTGAGATATTTATTAACAGTACAATTTTCAGATCTTCCCCTAGAGATTCTAATTCAGTAGGCCTCATGTAGAATACAGACATTTTCACAAGCACCACCTCTACCCCAACATGCGCATTCCAGTGATTCCTATGATCAAGCAAGGTTGGCAAACACTACACTGACTGGCTGGATCTTCAAGTTACTGACTGCTTTCTCCAGGTTTGCTCCCAAATTCCAGGGGTAGAGGGGAATAGAGTTACCATTATTACCTATTTTCAATGACCTGCTTAAGAGGTTATACTTCCATATATTTCCAGAGCTAACTAAAATAGATACTTAACCAACTTTATCCTTTCATTTTTCTTTTCCCTGTTCCAGGTATGTCGAGATTCCAAATAAATTTTAAAGGTGTTCTTACTAAATAAGGGCTGTAGACTTCTGCCGAAAACACACCATAACATTTTCCCTTTCCTGATGATAATACAATGTATAATACCATGATTTGGGTATCATAAACCAGAAAAGACTTGAGTTCTAATCCACATTCAATCATTTACTAAACATATCATTCTACTCAAGTCATTCAACCATTGTGACTCTGTGTTTGTCATCTGTAAAGGTGAGGTAGAAATGCCTGCCCTACCTAACTCTCCACATTTTTACAATGACTAGAACTAGCTATTCTAAATAAAATACATTTTAACTACAAAGTACAATAAATATGCTAGTATTATTTTTATTACTAAAGACTCATAGTCTTATGTGAGTATCATAAGGAAACATAGTTTGTTATAATAAAAACATCAGAACAACCACCATCTTGTGGTACAAAATAGGCAAAATTCAGATTTAACAAATTCTATTGAAATTTCTAATTCATACAAGCTTATTTTCATTTCAAGAGTGGCAGCATATACTCATATTGCTTGGTTAATGTGAGAAATTAAGAGATATGGAAACTTTCATTTCTTGTGTATTGATAATTAAGCTACATTTTCTGAGTCCCAAACACACCTTTTTTATACCACTTTTCTACTGCTAAGGTTGGGACTCTGCAAACCACATTTCTCCACTTGCCAAGTGGCTTTGCATGATATCCTGCCAATAGTGCACACCAGAGGGAGAACAGAAAGTTACAAAAGGGAAGAAGACACTTGCCCTTTCCTGTTTTGCTTCCTATTTCTCTCAGTATCACCCCAGGAACAGCCCTTCATTCTGGCATTTGTTGTTGGTAATGGTAGCATTGGTTCCTGTTTTTCCACACTACCAGAACCAGCCTCCTTGTGCTCCAAGAGGTACCATAATTAGGGAGTACTGAACCTGCTCAGAGATCTGAGTCCCAGCTCAGCAGATTCCCTTCTCTGTTATGTGGCTTCTGGAAATCAAAACGTCTTCCCCTTGTTTCCTTGGCCATAGAGACAATAGCTGCTTTCTGCATTTATACTGTTGTTGCTTCAGTGTTTTGTTTTGTTTTGTTTTTCCTTTTAAATCTTCTAAAACCTGTCTAAACAATTTCTTATATTAAATTTCATCTGATGTGTTTTCTGTTTTCTTGCTTGGACACTTACTGATACAGACTGTCCATTTGATAATAAGTAATTTCCGCATTTTCTTGCTTTTCCACAATTTCCACAAAGATAACAGTTTAGCATAACTTAATGTGCGGAATGTAACTTTTATATGAATAGAACGTTAAAAACAGTGTGCATTATGAAGTGAAGAAGCCACTGTTGTCCAAAGCTGATTTGATGTTCATAACTAGGCCACAATATTATTACCAGATGGCTTGACACTCATAGGGAGATTACTTTGTCTTCTTGTTGGACATAAACAGTCTCACAGATGACAATTTAAAACAATATTACTTTCAGATAATGACAAAACAAGTCTACTTCATAATTTTGTCTAGGCTCAGACAGGTTATTAGGTCACCCACAACATAATAATAGAATTACCCTCACTTTCTCACAGCATCTAATCAGGAATAAATCCCTACTCCATTGTACCCTCCCCTAAATCACCCAACCAAGGCCCAAGTTTTCTACTAGATTATTTCTAACATCATCTTATCGAGATATGCCATGCTTCCCCATGGTTTGTGTTTTTCTCTGCTGCAATCAGCAATAAGCCAAACTTGATTAACTACTGGTGATTTATTGGTGGAATGTAGCTGAGGGGCATCGATCCTGGTAAGATTTTATTTGGATGTGAGGTGAAAAAATTTTCAGAGATGGTGATTATATTTCATTGTTTGAGTAAAATGTGCTTCTAGAAGAACCTTGAAAGTGACCAACATGGTCATTTGTCACAATTGCCATTTTATAATTTATTATATGATTATTTTATTAATATTTATCTTCCTACTAGACCTAGTTCATTAGTTCCATGAGAGCAGGAATTATATCTTATTATTTTCCTCACCATTGCATCCCTAGGATCATGGACAATGTGTGGCACGTTGTGGACCAGTGTGATACAATATAAATATAATATGAACCACATATATAGGCTTAAATTTTCTAGCAGCAACAATTAAAAAGTAAAAAGCTGTTGGTTAAATTAGTTTTAATAACCTATTTTATTTAACTTCATGTATCCAAATGTCATATCATTTCAACATGTAATTAATATAAAAAATTATTAATAAGACCCTGCCCTATGTCAGGAAGATGGCAGAATAGAAAGTTCCAGTCCTGGCCGGGCATGGTGGCTCACACCTGTAATCCCAGCACTTTGGGAGGCTGAGGCGGACAGATCACTTGAGGTCAGGAATTCGAGACCAGCCTGGCTAACATGGTGAAACCCCATCTTTACTAAAAATACAAAAATTAGCCGGGCATGGTGGTGGGAGCCTGTATCCCAGCTACTAAGGAGCTTGAGGCAGGAGAATTGCTTTAACCTGAGAGGCAGAATTTGCAGTGAGCTGAGTTCATACCACTGCACTCCAGCCTGAGTGACAGAGCGAGACTCCAAAAAGAAAGAAAGAAAGAAAGAATGAAAGAAAGAAAGAGAGAGAAAGAAAGAAGAAAGAAAAAAAAGAGAGAAAGAAAGAAAGAAAGAAAGAAAGAAAGAAAGAGAAAGTCCCAGTCCTTGTTTCCTCACATAAGCACAGATTTAAAAATGTATAAGTAACAAAATACCTTTATGAGCTGTCCAGAATTCAGATAAGAAGTTGTGGTATCCCTAGATGAACACAAAACTGAGATCAGCAGCAGAGAAATGGGTAAGAAGAACAATTTATCTTTACCTGCATCAGCCTCTCCTTCATGCCTGCAAAGCTCAGTGCCAAGAAAGACTGTGACTCCTCACTGGGAGAGGGAAAGAGAATGGGCATATATACAATATCTCTTGACTTTCAGTGCACTCCCTGAAGGGATGGCTTCTGTCTGGTTTCACACAGAATGCTGGAAAATCTAGTAAAGTCAAGTTCCTGGCACAACAAAGAGGACAGGTACTTTCCTGGAGTTGGTACAGGTTTGTATGGCTTGGAGAAGGTGCAGAACTGAGGTCTGTTCTCCAAGAGTAAGAGAGGAGTGAAACATGGCTTCTATGTTTTTGGCCTTTCAGTGCACTCCCCAAGGAGCTGGATTCTGATTTGTCTCACACAGAACACTGATGAAACTGGCATAGTCTGGATGCTTGGGGCAGCTGTGGTCAACACCATATACAAGGCTTGGAAAACACACAGAATTGATGCCCTTTCTCTAACGAGAGAGGAGGGGAGCATTACTCCAATGTCCTCAGCTATTCCCTGTACTCCTCAAGGGGCTGGTTTATATCCTTTGCATTGTGGAGTGCTGAGGGAATTAATGTAGTTAGAGAACAGAGAAAACACTATATTATGGGTTTCTGAAGAAAAAACAACTACTGAATGGGTCAGTTAGAAACAAAAATTCTGAATCTCTAGCTAGGTTGACCGGTGAAGGTCTTTCCCATTCAAAGTCAGTCCATAGGGGAAAATGAGGCCTGTTCTTTTTCAAATGCACATACTCCAATGAAAAGATACAAGAAACAAGAAGAATCAGAGAAAAGTTACACAATCAAATGAACGAACTAAATCTCCAGTAAATTACCTTAAGGAAATGAAAATCTATGAATTGCTTAACAACAAACTTAAAATAATCTCAAAGCAGATGAATGGGTTTCAAAAGAAAACAGATAGACAACTGAATTAAACTGGGAAAATAATGCGTGAAAAAAATAAGTATATTTGCAAGAAAATATAAATGAGAAAGAACCAAACAGAAATTCTGAAACTGTGGTATGTATTAGGGGGGTACAAAAGTAACTGTGGTCTTTGCCATTACTTTTAACGGTGAAAATGGCAATTACTTTTGCACCAACCCAATAGTAAGAGAACTAAAAATTTCACTATTGGGATTTGGCAACAGATTTGATCAGGCAGAAAAAAAGGATCAACAAACTTAAAGGCACTTGAAGTTATGCAATCAAAGGTTCAAAAACAAAAAAAATAGTAAAAAGAGTCCAGTAAGCTTGAAAGGTAGTCTAGGTCATAAAGACTGCAACTCTTAGGCATGTTTTAGGGCAAAACTAAGCTAAGACACAATGGACCCTTGGTGGGGGTGTGGGGGGGAAGGCACATGACATACTGAAACAAAAGCTGGCACAGCTAACAGAGTGCTGGCATCACTCCTTTCCAGACCCTAGGCTGCACAGCTCATGGCTCCAAAAGAGACCCCTTCCTTTAGCTTAAGGAGAGAAGAGGGAAGAGAGGGGAGGACTTCATCTTGTATCTTGGATACTAGCTCAGCAACAACAGGATAAGGCAGTGGTCAGAGTCATGAGGCCCTGTTCCAGGCCCTAGCTTCCAGATGACATTTCCAGACACAACATAGGCCAGAAAAGAATATGTTGCCTTGAAGAAAAGAACACAGCCCTGGAAGCATTCATTATCTGCTAAATGAAGAGCCCTTGGGCCCTGAATAACAAGCAATGATACCCAGGTACCATGTCAATGTCTTGGGAAGAGTCAGAGACTTGCTGGCTTCAGGTACCAGCATGGCAACAGGCAGGTTGAGCATCAGGCGGGTTCTTGGGGTCCATGATTCCAGAACTGGACACTTAGACAGCATTTCTGGACCTCTTCTGGGCCAGAGAAGAGCCTACTGTCCTAAAGTGTGAACCCCAGGCCAGGCAGCATTCACCACAAGCTGACTTAAGAGCCCTTGGGCCTTAAGGAACATTAGTGGCAGTCTGGTAGCATTTCTTGTGGTATGGGGTGGCAGTGGCTATGGGCCGAGGATTCTTTGTCTTTGGAAAGAAAATGGAAGAATGGGAAGAACTGCATCTTGGTGTCTGAGTGCCATCTCAGCTCCAGTACAAGGAAACACGAGTATATTTCAAAGATATTGGACTCTAGTCCCTGTGGCATCTTGAGACCCAGGAAACCTGGCCATTCTAAGGGGAAAGACACAGGCCTGACTGGCATTGCCACTGGCTGATTGTAGAACCCTGGGGCCTTTAGAAAACATGGGCAGTAGCCAGGAAGTGGTTACAGCAGGACTTAGGTGATACCCAATGCTGTGGTGGCTTTAGGTCGAACTTAGCACAGTAATACTGGTGGTGGCCACAGGGGTGCTGATGTCACCCCACCCTCAGGTTTAGGTGGGTCAGAACAGAAAGAGAGACTCAGTTTGCTTGGGAGAAAGTAAGGCAAGAGAACAAAATTCTCTGCCTGGTAATCCAGAGGATTCTCCCAGACCTTGCCCAGGACTTAAAGGCAGTACCTATACCAGTCTGCAAGAACCACAGTGTTAAAGGGCTTCAGGTGCCACCTAAAGAAGATGCAGCTTAGATCACAACACCCAAGTCGTTTAAAATATCTGGAAAGGACAGCTACAAATAAGCCCAGAGAGTGAAGACTACAATAAATGCCTAACTCATCAATTCCCAGACACTGAAAAACATCTTTCAATACCACCCAGGAAACATAACCTTAACAAATAAATTAAATAATGCACCAGGGACCAATCCTAGAGAAACAGAGATATGCGAATTTTTAGACAGAAAAATTAAAACACTCGTGTTAACTAAATTCAAGGAAATTCAAGATAACACTGAAGGAATTCAGAATTCTATCAGATGATTGAAATAATGAAAAAGAATCAAGCAAAAATTACTGAGCTGAAAAATGCAATGGGCATACTGAAGAATGCATCTGAGTCCTTTAATAGTAGAAATGATCAAACGGAAGAAATAACTAGTGAGTATGAAGACAAGCCATTTGAAAATACACAATCGGAGGAGTGAAAGGAAAAAAGAAAAGAAAAACAATAAAGCACATATATGGGATCAAAAAATAGTCTCAAAAGGGTAAATCTAAGAAATACTGGTCTTAAAGAGAAAGTAGAGAAAGAGATAGGAGTGCAAATTTATTCAATGGGACAATAACAGAGAACTTCCAAAACCTAGAGAAAGATATCAATATCCAAGTGCAAAAAGATTATAGAATACCAAGCATATTTAACCCAAATAAAACTACCTCAAAGCATCTAAGAATCAAACTCCCAAAGATCAATGATAAAGAAAGGACTCTAAGAGCGGCAAGAGAAGAGAAACAAATAACATACAATGGAGCTCCAATACATCTGTCAGCAGACTTTTCAGTGGAAACCTTACAGGCCAGGAGAGAATGGCATGAAATACCTACAGCGCTGAAGGAAAAAACAAAAACAAACAAACAACAACAACAAAAAACTTTTAACCTGGAATAGTATCTCTAGTTAAAATGTCCTTCAAACATGAGGGAGAAATAAAGACTTTCTCAGACAAACAGAAGCTAAAGGATTTTATCAACACTGGACATGTCCTAGAAGAAATGCTGATGAGAGTACTTCAATCAAAACAAAAGGCATATTGATGAAGAGATAGTAATCATCTGAAGGTACATAATTCATTGGTAATTGTAAGTACACACATAAAAAACACAGAATATTATAACACTGTAACTGTCATGTGTATATTACTCTTTTCCTAAGTAGAAAGAATAAATAATGAACCAATCAAAAATAATGACAACTTCTCAAGACATATTCAGTATGAGAAGATATAAATAAAAAGAAAAAAAGTTAGTAAGTTGGGGGATGAAGATAAACTATAGAGTATTAGTTTCCGTTTTGCTTGTTTCTCATTTGTTTATGCAAGCAGGGTTAAGTTGTTATCAGGTTAAAATAATGGGTTATAAAATAGTATTTGAATGCCTCATGGCAACCTCAAACTAAAAAAGATACATTGGATACAAGAACTAAATTGTATTACCAGGCAAAATTACCTTCAGTAGAGGAAGACATGAAAAAAAGAAAGAAGGAAGAGAAAACTGTAAAATAACCAGAAAACAGTAGTAGTGTGGACAAAGTGAGTCCTAATTTGTCAATAACAGCATTGAATGCAAATTGACTAAACCCTACAATCAAAAGACATAGACTGGCTGAATGCATTAAAAAAAAAAAAACCATTGATCTGTTGCTTACGAGAAACACCATTCATCTATAAAGACACATAGGCTGAAAATAAAGGGATAGAACAAGACATTCCATGCCAATGGAAATCAAAAAAGAGCAAGAGTCACTATATTTATATCAGACAAAATAGATATCAAGACAAAAAGTATAAAAAGAGACAAAGAAGGTCACTATATAATGATAATTCAGCAAGAGGATATAAGAAATTAAAATATATATGAACCCAACACTGGAGCACCCACATATATAAAGCAAATATTACAGCTAAAGAGAGAGATGGGTTCCAATACAGTAATAATTGGAGACTTTAACAAACAACTGTCAACATTAGAAAGATCTTTGAGACAAGGAACCAACAAAAAAAAAAAAAGACATAATCTTCAGTGTAGACCAAATGGATGAATATTTCATCCAGCAGCTGCAGAATACACACTCTTTTTCTCAGCACATGGATCATTCTCAAGAACAGCCATATGAACAGTCACAGAACAAGTCTTAAAACATTCAAAAAATGAAAAAGTAACAAGCATCTTCTTTGACAATGAAATAAATAACAAAAGAAATTTTGGAAACTATGCAAATACATGGAAATTAAACAATATGTTCCTGAATGACATGTTGGTCAATGAAGAAATTAAGAAGAAAAGTGAAAAATTCCTTGCAACAAATGAGAAAGGAAACACAACATATCCAAACCTATGGGATACAGGAAAAGCAGTATTAAGAGGGAATTTTATAAGTGCCTACATCAAGAAAAAAAATCTTCAAACAACCTAAAAATGCATCCAAGAACTAGAAAAGCAGAAGAGATCAAATGCAAAATTAGCATAAGAAATTATAAGGATCTGAATAAACATTAATTAAATTAAAGTGAAAAAATTAAGTTGAAAAGGAAGAGCAAACCAAACCCAAAATTAGTAGACGAAAATAAATAGTAAAGATCGGAGTAGAAATAAATGCTTTTGAAATTAAAAAAGCAATACCAAAGACCAATGAAATAAAAGGTTTTTTTTTTTTTTTTTTTTTTTGAGACAGAGTCTGGCTCTGTCACCCAGGCTGGAGTGCAGTGGTGCGATCTCTGCTCACTGCAAGCTCCGCCTCCTGGGTTCACGCCATTCTCCTGCCTCAGCCTCCCGAGTAGCTGGGACTACAGGTGCCCGCCACCATGCCTGGCTAATTTTTTGTATTTTTAGTAGAGATGGGGTTTCACCGTGTTAGCCAGGATGGTCTCGATCTCCTGACCTCATGATCCGCCCGCCTCGGCCTCCCAAAGTGCTGGGATTACAGGCGTTAAAAGTTGTTTTTTTGAAAAGTTAAACAAAATTGACAAACCTTTAGCCAAGCTAAGAAATTTAAAAAAAAGAAAATACAAATAAATAAAATCAGAAATTAAAAATAAGACATTACAACTGATACTGCAGAAAGTTAAAGGATCCTCAGTGGCTACTATAAGCAACTATATGACAAATTAATCTGAAAATCTAGAAGAAATGATCAAATTCCTAGAAACATATAATCTAACAAGATTAAACCAGGGAGATATTAAAAACCTGAACAGACCAATAACAAGTAATGAGATCAAAGCCATAATAAAAAGCTTTCCAGTGAAAAAACAAACAAACTAACTAACAACAAAAACAAAAAACAAAAGACAACAACAAAAAGCCCTAGACCTAATGGCTTCAACACTGAATTGTAACACTTAAAGAAGAACTAATACCAATCCTACTTAAACTATTCCAAGAAATACAGAAAAAGGGAATACTTCCAAACTCATTCTATGGGTGAAGTATTACCCTGATAACCAAAACTAGACAGAAACATCAAAAAAAAAAAAAAAAAAGAGAGAGAGAGAGAAAACTGCAGGCCAATATATCTGGTGAATATTGACACAAAAAATTTTCAGCAAAACACTAGCAAACTAAATTCAATAATACAGTAGAAAGATCATTCATCATGACCAAGTGAGATTTACCCCTAAGATGCAAGGGTGTTTCAACATACAAAATCAAGCAAAGTGAAATATCATATCAACAGAATGAAGTATAAAACCTTTATGATCGTTTCAGTTGACTTGCTGAAAGCATTTGATATAATTCAACATCCCTTCAGGATAAAACTCTTTAAAAAATTAGTGATAGAAGGAACATAGGAACATATCTCAACATAATAAAAGCCATACACAACAGACCCACAGATAATATCATACAGAATGGGGAAAAACCGAAAGATTTCCTCTAACATGTTGAATATAACAAAGATATCTAGTATCACCATTGTTATTCAACATAGTCCTGGAAGTCCTAGCTAGAGCAATCAGACAACAGAAAGATATAAAGGGCATCCGAATTGGATTGGAAGAAGTCAAATTATGCTTGTGTGCAGATGATATGATCTTATATTTGGAATCATGTAAAGACTCCACAAGAAAATATTAGAAGGAATAAAGAAATTCAGTGAAGTTACAGGATACAACATCAACATACAAAAATCGGTAGCATTTCTAAATGCCGACAGTAAACAATCTGAAAAAGAAATAAAAGTGATCCAATTTATAATGGACACAAATACACTTAAATACCTAGAAATTAACCAAAGAACTGAAACATCTTTACAATAATGACAACTATAAAACACTGATGGAAGACAATGGAGAGGACACCAAAAAATGAAAAAAATACTCCATGTTCATGGAAAGAATCAATATTGTTAATGTGTACATAATCCCCAAAGCAATAAAGATTCAATGCGATCCCATTCAAAATACCAATGACATTCCTCACAGAAATTTAAAAAAAAAAATCTAAAATTTGCAAGGAACCACAAAAGACCCAGAACAGCCAAATTTATCCTAAGCAAAGAGATTAAAAATGGAGGAATCACATTACCTGACTTCAAATTATACTACAGTGCTATAGTGACTAAAAGAGCATGTTACTGGCATAAGAACAGACACATAAATCAATGAAACAGAATAGAGAACTCAGATCCAAATCAACACACCTACAGGGAACTCATTTTTGACAAAGCTTCCAGGAACATACACTGGGAAAAAGACAATATCTTCAATACATGGTGCTGGGAAAACCGGATATGCATATGCAGAAGAATGAAACCAGACCCCTATCTCTCACCATAGACAAAAATCAAATCAAGGATTGAATACTTAAATTTAAGACTGCAAATTATGAAACTACTACTACTACAAAAAAAAAATTGGGAAAAATCTTCAGGAAATTTGTCTGGGCAAAAATTTCTGGAGCAATACCGCACAAGGGGAGGAAACCAATGCAAAAATGGACAAATGGAATCACATCAAGTTAAAAACCTTCTGCACAGCAAAGGAAACAATCAATACAGTGAAGAGACCACTCAGAGAATGGGAGGAAATATTTGCAAACTACCCATCTGGCAAGATATCAATAACCAGAATATATAAGGAGCTCAGACAATTTTATAGAAAAAAAATCTAATAATCTGAACAAAAAAATGGCAAAAGATTTGAGTCAGTGTTTCTCAAAAGAAGACATAAAAATGACAGAGATATATGAAAATGTGCTCGACATTACTAATCATCAGAGAAATGCAAATCAAAATTACAATAAGATATCATCTCACCACAGTTAAAATGGGTTATATCCAAATGACAGTCAATAACAAATGCTGATGAGGATGTGGAGAAAAGGGAGCCCTTGTACAATGTTGGTAGAAATGTAAATTAGTACAACCACTATGGAGAACAGTTTGGAGGTTCCACAAGAAATTGAAAATTGAGCTACCACATGATCCAGCAGTCCCACTGCTGTGTGTATATCCAAAAGGAAGGCAATCAGTATATCAAAGAGATAGCTGCACTCCTATGTTGCAGCGCTGTTTGCAATGGCTAAGATTTGGAAGCATCTGTCCATCAGAAAATGAATGAATCCTGCAAATGTGGTAAATATACAAAATGAAATACTATTCAGTAATGAAAAAAATGAGATTCAGTCATTTGCAACAACATGGATGGAACTGGAGAGAGCATGAAGTGAAATAAGCCAGGCACAGAAAGGCTAACATCACATGTTTTCACTTATTTGTGGGATCTACAAATCAAAACAATTTAATGCATGAACATAGAGAGTAGAAGAATGGCTACCAGAGGCTGGGAAGGGTAGTGGGGAGGTACAGGGGATGGAGGGGTAAGGATAGTTAATGTGTGAAAAAAAAATAGAATGAATGAGACCTACTATTTGATAGCACAACAGGGTGACTGTAGTCAATAATAAATTAATGGTAATTTATTTTGAAATAACTTAAGGAGTATAATTATATTGTTTGTAACTCAAAGAACAAATGATTGAGAGTTTGGATACTCCATTCTATACGATGTGATTATTAAGCATTGCATGCCTGTATCAAAACATCTCATGCACCCCATATATATATACACCTACTATGCACCAACAAAAATTAAAAATTAAAAAATTTTAAGAAAAACAGACTTTTAAAAATGTCAAACCATCACAAGTGGCGTGTATGTGGAGAAAAGGGAACTCTCGTACACTAGGAGTGAGAATGTATATTGGTACAGCTATTTTATGAACAACAGTATGAAGACTCCTCAGAAAATTAAAAATAGAACTACCATATAATTTGATAATCCCATTCCTAGTTATATACTTAAAGGAAATGAAATAAGTACCTCAAAGAGATATCTGCACTCTCATGTCATTCACTGCAACCAAGATATGAAAACAACATAATTGCCTGTCAACTGATGAATGAATAAAGAAATTAAGGTATATATAATGAAATATTTTTCCGCCTTTAAAAAGAAAGAAACACTGACATTTGTGACAACAGAAGTAAATCTGGAGTACATTATGCTAAGTAAAATAAGGGCTGACACAGAAAGAAAAATACTGCATGATTTCACTTATATTTGGAATCTTACCAAGTCAAACACATAAAAGTAGAAAGTAGAACAATGGTTATTAGGGGTGGGGGATATGGGGGAAATGGGAAGATGGTCAAAAGGCATAAAGTTGCAGTTATGTAGGATAAATAAATATAGAGATCTAATGTATAGCATGGTGACAATATTTAATCAAACTGTGCTGTATATTTTCAAGTGATTTCACAGAGTAGATTTCAGTTGCTCTCCCCAAAATAACAAATAGTAACTATGTGAGGAGATAGATATGCTAATTGCTTGAGTGTAGTAATCATTTCATTATGTATATCTATATCAAAACATCACATTATACACCTTAAATATATACAATTTTATTTTAAAAATAAAAATGTTAAAAATAGAAGCTGAGAAAAGGTGAGTGTGTTCCGGAAATCTGCTGTACAACATCATGCCTATAATTAACAAAACTGTATTTTGCCCCTTATAATTTTTAAGATAGTAGCTTTCGTGTTGTGTTCTTACCAGAATTTATAAAAAATATTAACGGAATATTGTACATATTTTTTATCATAGTAGTTCTTTGAAATCAAATATGTATTTTGCACCTACAGTACTTGTTAATTTGAAGACTAAGTATTCATCACACAAGCTTGATCTACATTACATTTCATAAGATTTACAGTTCAAGAAGTAGATTCAAATACCTGGGTTCTCCAATAATTGAATTAGGAATCGCTTTTAAGAGTTTTATTTAGGTTTAATTAACATACAATAAATTGCATATATTTAATCTGTACAATTAGATGTTTTGATATCTGTATGCACTAAAGAAACTATCACCAAATCAAGACAATGAACATAAACATCACGCCCCAATGTTTTCTAATGCCTCCTGTTAATCAACTTTCCCTTTCCTTTTCTTCTGTCTCACCAGTCAATGAATGATTATGATTACTAGTTTGCATTTTCAATAGTTTTATATAGATCAAGGCATACAGTATGTGCTCTCTTTTTAATCTGGTTTCCTTCACTTGTCATGATTATGTTGAGATTCATTCACATTGTTGGGCATATCAACAGTTCATTTTTTAAATTGTTGTGTAGTTTTTTTCCTATATAGAAATGCACAATTTGTTCATTTACCTGTTAGTGAACAGTTGGTTTGTTTCCAGGTTTTGGTTATTATAAATAAAGCTGATATAAACATTTATGGACAAGGCTTTGTATGGATATGTGCTATAAATTATCTTGGGTAAAATACATATCAGTAGAATAGCTGGATGATAGGATGAATGCATGGTTAACTCTTTTAGAAATTGTCAAACTGTTTTAAAGAGTGTTTTAACATTTCTGGCAGTCTCAGGGTTCCAATTCTTCCACATCCTCATCAACACTTGGTATGATCAGTCTTTAATTTTAGCCATTCTAGTGTGTGTGTACTGGGCGCACTGTAGTTTAAATTTACATTTCGCTTATGATTAATGGTATTAAGCACCTTTTCATCTGCTTATTTGCCATCTCTATATCTCCTTTGGTGAAGTGTCTTTCAGTTTTTAGCCCATTTTTTATCGGGTTTGTTCCCTTATCGAGTTTTGAGTATTCTTTGTATATTCTAGAAACAGATCCTTTTATCAGATAGATCTTCTATGTTCTCTCTATTTGGGCTTGTCTTTTCATTATCATAACCCTGTCTTTCTATAAAATAACTTCATTGCAGTACATTTGACATATAACACAATTTTCCCATTTCAAGGGTACAATTCAATTATTTTTAATAACTTTATTGAGTTGTGCAAACATCACATGTAAGTATTAGAACATTTTAATTTCCCCAATAATATCTCTCATGTTCATTTCCATTTACTTCACATTCCCATCCCTAGCCCCAGAAAACTCTCGTCTACTTTCTGTCTCTATGAATTTGTATTTGTCTTTCGCGGACATTTTACATAAATAGAATCATACAATATGTGATGTCATGTGTCTGGTTTCTGTCACATAATAGAAATCACATAATATCTCTGAGGTTCATACATGATGCAACATGTGTCAGTAGTTAACTGACAATAAGCTTTCCATAGATGTATTTTAACAGGTAAGGAAGTTTCACTCTATTCCAAGGAAACAGTGTCTTCAGAGAAGCAGGAGTTTTTGATTGTGATACATTCTAATTTATCAATTTGCTATTTTATGAATCATGCTTTTAATGTGAAATCTAAGTAATCTTTGCCTAGCCAAAAGTGGCAATTTTTTCTCTATGTTTTATTCTAGGTGTGTAAAATAACTGTAGTTCCTATGATTATGTCTACGATCCATTTTGAGTTAATTTTTATATATAGTGCGCGCTATGGACCAAAATTCATTTTTTGCATGGGGATATTCAATCATTTTAAAACCATTTGTTGAAAAGACTACCCTGTTTCCACTGAACTGAATTCACAACTTTTTTAAAAAATAAGTTGCCTAACTCCATATCCTATTTCACTGATTTATTCATCTAACTCCAATAATACACTGTTTTTATTCCTATAGCATTGTAATAAGTTTTGAAAACATGAAGTGTTATCCTGTCAATTATATGTTTTTTCAAAGTTGTTTTGGCTATTTCTAAGTAATTTTAATTACCATATAAGTTTTAAAAATCAGTTTGTAATTTCCTACAAAAAAGTGACCTGAAATTTTGATTAAAATTGTTTTAAATCTATAAATAATTGTAGGGAAAATGATATCTTAGCATATTAGAAATTTTGTCCCATGGAAAAAAGGCATATCTCTCCATTAAAACACTTTAAATTTTTTCACAAATATTTTATAGTTTTCAGGGCAGAGGTTTTGCATAGCTTTTGTCAGATTTATCCCTCAGTATTTCATATTTTACGTTATTTTCAAATATGTTTTTAAAATTCAATTTCTGATTATTTTTTGGTAGTTTATAAACACACAATTGGTTTTTGTGTATTGAACGTGTATCCTGTAATTTTGTTAATCTCACTTATTAGCCTTAGTAGCTTTTTAAATTAAATACCATGGGATTTTATATATAAATTATCATGTCTTCTGGAAATAAAGACACATTCATTTCTTCTCTTCTAGATTGGATACCTTACATTTTTCTTGCCTTACTGCATTGTCTAGAACCTCCAGTAAAATATTGAATATAAATTGTAAAAGGGGACATCCATGACTTTTACTTGACCTTAGTGGGGAGGTATTCACTCTTTCACCACTAAGTATAACGTTAAGTACATGGTTTTTATACATACATTCTACAAAGTTGAGAAAGGTCCATTTTTTTTGCAATGGAAAGGACAATTTTTTAAAAAAACTAGCTGTATATTTAAATAGACAAATAATAATTGCACATATTTGTGGGGTACATAGCTATGTTTTGATACATTTCATGTATAGTGATCAGATCAGTGTTATTATCATATCCATCCTCTCAAATATTTATCACTTATTTGTTTTGGGAACATTCAGTATCCTTCTTTTAGCTATTTGATACTAATAACTAATTTTTAACCATAGTCATCCTACAGTGGTATAGAACACTAGAGCTTAGTCTTATTTAGCTGTAATTTTGTCTCCTTTAACAAATCTCTTCATATCATCCCTTTCGCTTTACTATTTCCAGCCTCTAATATCTTCTGTACTACTTTGGCTTCTATGAGATTACTTTTTTTAGCTTTCAAATATGAGTGAGAACATGTGGTGTTTAACTTTCTGTTCCTGACTTATTTTATTTAAAATAATGTCTTATAGTTCCATCAATGTTGATATGAATGACAGAATTTAATTCTTTCTTATGGTTGAATAGTATTCAATTGTGTATATATACCACATTTTCTTTATCCATTCATCTGTTGTTGTACACCTAAGTTGACTCCATATCTTGGCTATTGTGAATTAGTGCTGCAATAAACATATTGGTGCAGATGTCTCTTCTATGAAATGATTTATTTTCCTTTGGATAACTACCCAGTAGTGGAATCGCTGGATCATATAGTAGTTTTACTCATATTTCTTTGAGTAACCTCCAGCTGTTCTCCATAGTGGTTGTACTAGTTTAAATTCCCACCAACAATTTATAAGAGAGATCTTTTCTCTGCATCCTCGCCAGTATTTGTGATTTTTTTTTTGGTCTCTTTGATAATTGTCATCCTAATAAAGTAAGGTGTTAATACATTGTGGTTTTGATTAGTATTTTCCTCATGATTAGTAATGTTGAACATTTTTTCATATACTTGTTGATGATTTCTTTCTTTCTCCCTCTTTCTTTCTTCTCTTTTTCTCTCTTTTTTTTAAATTTAACAAGTTTACACTTTTATTTTAGGTTAAGAATACGTGTGCACATTTGCTATTTAGGTAAGTTGCATATCACAGGGGTTTAGAGTACAGATTATTTTGTCACTCAGCGATAAGCATAGTATATGATAGGTAGATTTTTTATCCTCACCTTCCTCCCACCTTCCACCTTCAAGTAGGTACTATTGTCTGTTATCCCTTCTTTTTGTCCATATGTACTTGATGTTTAGTTTTCACTTGTAAGTGAGGCCATGTGGTATTTTGTTTTCTGTTCCTGTGTTAGTTCGCTTAGGGTAATGGCCTCCAGCTCCATCCATATTGCCTTTTTTTTTATGGCCACGTAGCATTTGATGGTGTATATGTACCACATTTTTAAATTTAGTCAACCATTGATGGGCACTTATGGTTGATTTCATGTCTTTGCTATTGTGAATAGTGCTGTGATGAACATACACATGCATGTGTCTTTATAGTAGAATGATGTACATTCCTTTGGGTATATACTAAATAATGAGATTGCTGAGTCAAATGGTAATTCTGTTTTAAGTTCGTTTAGAAATCGCCAAAGTGCTTTCCACAATGGCTGCACTAATAGACATTCCTACTAGCAGTGTATAAGTGTTCCCTTTTCTACACAACCTCTCCAGCATCTCTTATGTTTTGATTTTTAAATAATAGCTATTCTGACTAGTGTGAGATATCTTGTTGTGATTTTGATTTGCATTTCTCTAATGATTATGAGCATTTTCATATGCATTTTAGCTATTTGTATATATTCTTTTGAAAGTGACTGTTCATGTTCTTTGCCCACTTTTTAATGGGGTTGTTTTTTGCCTATAAACTTGTTTAAGTTCCTTATAGTTTCTTGACATTTAGATCTCTGTTGGATACATAGTTTACAAATATTTTCTCCCATTCTGTAGGTTGTCTGTTTACTCTGTTGAAAGTTCCTTTTGCTGTGCAGAAGCTCTTCAGTTTAATTTGGTCCCATTTGTTAATTTTTGGTTTTATTACTCTTGATTTTGGCATTTTCATCATGAAGTCTTTGCTCAGTCCTATGTACAGAATATTTCCTATGCTATCTTTCAGGGTTTTTATAGTTATAGGTTTTATATGTAAGTGTTTAATCCATCTTGAGTCGATTTTTTTTATATTGTATAAGAAAGGATTCCAGTTTCAATCTTCTACATGTGACTAGTCAGTTATTCTAGCATCATCTATTGAATATGGAATCTTTTTCTCATGGCTTGTTTTTGCCAACTTTGTCAAAGATCAGATGGTTGTAGGTATGCAACATTATTTCCGGGCTCTCTATTCTGTTCCATTGGTCTATGTGTCTGTTTTTGTACCAATACCATGACAGTTTGCTTATTGTAGTCTTCTAGTATAGTTTCAAGTCAAGTAATGTGATGCCTCTGGCTTAGTTATTTTTGCTCAGGATTGCTTTGGCTATTTGGGATCATTTTTGGTTCCATACAAATGTTTAAACAGATTTTTCTAATTCTGTGAAGAATGTCATAGGTTTGATCAGAATAGCATTGAATCTGTGGATTGCTTTGGGCAGGTGGCCATTTTGACAATATGGATTCTTCCTATCCATGAACATAGAATGTTTTTCCATTTATTTGTGTCATCTTTGATTTCCTACAGCTGTGTTTTGTAATTCTCATTGTAGAGATATTTCACCCCTCTTGTTAGCTGTATTCTTAGGTTTTTTTTGTGGTTAATGTGAATGGGATTGTGTTCCTGATTTGGCTCTCAGCTTGGATGTTGTTTTTGTATAGAAATGTTATTGATTTTTGTACACTGCTTTTGTATCTTGTATTCTGCTTACATTATTTATCAGATAAAGGAGCTTTTGGGCAGAGACTATGGGGTTCTTTAGGTATAGAACCATATCATCTGCAAACAGAGATAGTTTGACTTTCTCTCTTCCTACTTGGATGGTTTTTATTTCTTTCTCTTTCCTGATTGCTCTGGCCAGGACTTCCAGCACTATGTTGAATAGGAGTGGTGGGAGGGGGCATTCTTGTGTTGCTCTGGGTTTCAAGGGGAATGCTTCCAGCTTTTGCCCAATCAGTATAATGTCAGCATACCTGTTGGCCATTTTTTTGTCTTCTTTGAGAAATATCTTTTCAGGTTACTTATTTCTTTAAAAATTTGATTTTTTTTCTGTTGAGATGTTGCAGTTTTTAAAAATATTCTGGATCTTAATCTGCTGTTGGGTGAGCAGTTCACAGATATTTTTCCCATTCTTTAGGTTGACCTTTAACTCTGTTGTTTGCTTTGCTATGCAGAGACGTTTTAGTTTGATACAATCCGATTTATTTTTTCTCTTGTTGCCTGTGCCTTTGAGGTCTTATTGATAAAATGTTTTCCTGACCTGCTGTTTGTTCTATTTGTTGGGAAAATGTCCTGAAGCACACTACCTATGTTTCTTTCTAGTAGCTTTGTAGCTTGAGGTCTCTCATTTAGGTATTTGATCCATTTGTAGTTGATTTTTATTTTTTGTGTGAGAGGAGGTCTAATTTCATTCTTCTGCTGGTGAATATCCAGTTTTTCCATCACCATTTATAGAAGGCTTTCTTCTCCCAGCGAGTGCTCTTGGCACCTTTGTCAAAAATCATCTGGCTGTAAGTACGTGAATTAATTTATATGTTCTCTCCTCTGTTTTATGGTTCTATGTGTTCGTTTTTATATCAAAACCATACTTTTGTGGTGACTACAGCTTTGTAGCATATTTTGACGTTTGGTAGTGTGATGCCTCCTGCATTGTTCTTTTTACTCAGTATTGCTTTGGCTATTCTGGCTCTTCCTTGGTTCCATATAAATTTTAGGATTATTTTTTCTATTTCCATAAAACATTTCATTGGTACTTTGATAAATATTTTATTGAATCTGTAGATTCCTGTGGGCCGTATAGTCATTTTAATGATATTAATTCTTCCAGTCCATGAGCTTGGAATGTGTTTCTATTTATTTGTGTATCCTTCAATTCCTTTCATCAATGTTTTGTTTTTTTTAATTGCAGTTCTTTCAACTCCTTGGTTAAATTTATTTCAAGGCATTTTATTTCTTTCAGTTTTTGTAAATAGCATTGTCTTCTTGATTTAATTCTCATCCTGTTTGTTGTTTACGCATAAAAATGCTACTGAATATGTATGTTGATGTTGTATCCTGCAACTTTACTGAATTTGCTTACCAGTTTTAAGAGTTTTGTGTTTGAGTCTTTAAGTTTTTCTATGTATGAGATTACATTGTCTGTTAAAAAAGGATAATTTTAATTTGTCCTTTCCAATTTGGATGCCTTTTTTTTTAATCTTACCTAATCACCGTGGCCAAGACTTTTAGTACTATGCTGAATAGAATTGATAAAAGTGGGAATCTTTGTTTTTTTCCAATTCTTAGAAGAAAGGCTTTCACCCTTTTTCCATTCAGTATTATTTAGGCTGTGAATTTTTCATATATGACCTTTGTTGTGTTGAAGTATTTTCTTCTATATTTAATTTATCAAGAATTCAAATAAATAATGGATGCTGAATTTTATCAAATGCTTTTTCTGCATCTATTGAGATAATGTTTTTTTCTTCATTCTATTCATGTGATGTAACATATTTACTGATTGTGTATGTTAAACCATTCTTGCTTTCCTGGGATAAATCTCATTTGATCATGGCATATTTTTTGATATATTATTGGATTAATTTTGCTAGTTTTTTATTGAGGATTTTTGTATCTATGTTCTTCAGTGATATTGGCCTGTTGTTTTCTTTTTCGGTTGTATCATTTTATGCTTTTGGTATCAGGGTTATGCTGGCCACATAGAATATGATAGGAAGAGTTATCTCCACTTCGATGTTTTGGTATAGTTTGAGAATAACTGGTAATAATTCTTCTTTAAAGGTGTGGTAGAATTCAGTGATGAAGCCATTCAATCCTGGACTTTTATTTTTTGGAAAACTTTTTATTATTAACTGAATCTCATTATTTTTATTTGTCCCTTCAGATTTTCTTTACCTTCTTGGTTCAATGTTAGTAAGTCATATGTATCCAGAAATTTATTCATTTCTTTCAGGTTTTCTAATTTTTAGGCATGTTGCTGTTCATAGTAGTTTTAATGATCCTTTTTATTTGTTTGGTATCCAGTATGACATCTCCTTTTGCATTTCTGATTTTATTTCCTTGGGTCTTCTCTATTTCTTTCTTAGTCTAGTTAAGGATTTGTCAATTTTGCTTATCTTTTCAGAAAACTTTTTGTTTCATTGATATTTTATATATTTTTTAGTTTCCATTTCATTTAGTTCTCTGATCTTTATTATTTCTTTCCTTCTACTAATTTTGGATCTGGCTTGTTCTTGATTTTCTACTTACTTAAGAAAAATGCTTGCCATTCTAACTGGTGTGAGATGATATCTCATAGTGGTTTTGATTTGCATTTCTCTGATGGCCAGTGATCATGACCATTTTTTCATGTGTTTTTTGGCTGCATAAATGTCTTCTTTTGAGAAATGTCTGTTCATGTCCTTTGCCCACTTTTTGATGGGGTTGTTTGTTTTTTTCTTGTAAATTTGTTGGAGTTCATTGTAGATTCTGGATATTAGCCCTTTGTCAGATGAGTAGGTTGCGAAAATTTTCTCCCACGTTGTAGGTTGCCTGTTCACTCTGATGGTAGTTTCTTTTGCTATGCAGAAGCTCTTTAGTTTAATTAGATCCCATTTGTCAATTTTGGCTTTTGTTGCCATTGCTTTTGGTGTTTTGGACATGAAGTCCTTGCCCACGCCTATGTCCTGAATGGTAATGCCTAGGTTTTCTTCTAGGGTTTTTATGGTTTTAGGTCTAACGTTTAAATCTTTAATCCATCTTGAATTGATTTTTGTATAAGGTGTAAGGAAGGGATCATTAAAAAGTCAGGAAACAACAGGTGCTGGAGAGGATGTGGAGAAATAGGAACACTTTTACACTGTTGGTGGGACTGTAAACTAGTTCAACCATTGTGGAAGTCAGTGTGGCGATTCCTCAGGGATCTAGAACTAGAAATACCATTTGACCCAGCCATCCCATTACTGGGTATATACCCAAATGACTATAAATCATGCTGCTATAAAGACACATGCACATGTATGTTTATTGTGGCACTATTCACAATAGCAAAGACTTGGAACCAACCCAAATGTCCAACAATGATAGACTGGATTAAGAAAATGTGGCACATATACACCATGGAATACTATGCAGCCATAAAAAATGATGAGTTCATGTCCTTTGTAGGGACATGGATGAAATTGGAAACCATCATTCTCAGTAAACTATCGCAAGAACAAAAAACCAAACACCGCATATTCTCACTCATAGGTGGGAATTGAACAATGAGATCACATGGACACAGGAAGGGGAATGTCACACTCTGGGGACTGTGGTGGGGTGGGGGGAGGGGGGAGGGATAGCATTGGGAGATATACCTAATGCTAGATGACGCGTTAATGGGTGCAGCGCACCAGCATGGCACATGTACCCTAAAACTTAAAGTATAATAAAAAAAAAGAAAAATGCATTTTAACTTGATTATTTGATTTTTTTTCTAGTTTTTGATGTAGACATTTATTGCTATTAACTTGGCTTTAATACTGCCTTTGCTGTGACCCATAGGTTTTGGTATGTTGTGTTTCTATTTTCATTTGCTTCAAGAAATTTTAAAATTGTATTCTTATTTTCTCCTTTCACCCGTTAGTCATTCAGGAGCATGTTGTTTATTTTCTATGTATTTGTATAGCTTCAAATGTTTCTCTATTATTGATGCTCAGTGTTATTCCATTGTGGTCAGATAAGATATTTGATACGATTTTAACTTTTAAAAATGTGTTGAGACTTGTCTGTGTCCTAACCTATAGTTAATCCTAGTGAATACACCATGTGCTGATTAATGTGTATTCTGCAGCCGTTGGATGAAAATGTTTTGTAAATGTTTGCTGGGATTTTTTTTTTTTTGTCCATGGTGCAGTTTAAATGCATTGCGTGTTTTTGTTGTTGTTGTTGTTAATTTTCTTTCTAGATGATCTGTCCAATACTGAGAGTGAGGCATTGTAGTTCTCAACATTTATTGTATTACAGTCTATCTGTCCTTTTGGATCTAGTAATAATTGCTCTATGTGGGTCCTCCAGTATTGGATGCATATATATTTATCCAACTATATGCTGTCTACATAAATTCACCTCACCTGTAGAGATATGCATAGAATGAAAGTTAAAGGATGGAAAATGATATTCCTTGCAAATAGAAACCAATAGCAAGTATGAGTAACTGTATCTATATTGGATAAAACAAACTTCAGTAAAAAGCTGTAAAAAGAGACAAAGGCAAACATTATATAGTAATAAAGGTAATAATTTAATTCAAGGAGCAATCTTGAATTGTTTCCAGTCTACTTTGGTCACTACCTTAGGAGACTTTTTTTTTAAGAGACAGGACCTTGCTATGTTGCCTAGTCTGGACTTGAACTACTGGGCTCAAGCAATCCTCCCACCTCAGCCTCCCAAGTAGCTGGGACTACAGGCACATATAATCATGCTTGGCTTTTTAAAAACATTTTGCAGGCAGTCACCAGGTTATGTTTAACATGCAAGTCCTGGCCTACTTTTATTGGCTATGGTTCCAATAATAGTTCAACTTTCATAACTTCTGTGGTGTTATTTTCATCTGCTTGATTTACCTAGTTCCACTAGAGCTTCCAGTAATCCCTACTGGTGCCACCTAAGAGGACAGAAGGAGCTGATCTAGACCAGGCACATGTGAGGAGATACCTACCCCCATTGGTGTTGCCCAACAAACTAGTGTCCTTCGGTGGAAAATGGAATCTCCATCCTTCAGGAATACATAGCACACTTTTTAGACTAGTTGCCCATTGTGGCTTGTTCCCTCTTCCTGTTGCCAATAAGCCACTTTTATCTCTAGGTAGAGGAAGTAATTATCTTGCTTCCAGGAGTCAAGAGACTAAGCTACTCTTTGTGTCAGTATCTTCCTTGATATTACTGCCTGGTGTCTTCTGATGTGGGAGAGAACGTCCTGGTCTAGCAGGAACAGAGAGTAGCTCTCCTGACTGCTTATTGTCAGCAAAACTTCCAGTTAATCTTCTTTGTCAGAGTTGCCAGGCTCACTTCATGTTGTTCTTGAAATTCCTGCTCCAACTGGTGGCAGATGGGGGATGGGGAATGAGCCTACCAAAGCTTTCTTGTATTGCTAAGGTGGGAGACATGAGGTTCCTGGCTTGAATCCCCTTTTAATGTTAAGTGGGGGACCAAGACACCCTGTAGTTCCTCTAATTCCTGGAGTCCCTAATGTGTCATTTTATTCTTTCATCCTTTCAGAATTCTCCTTTGGTGGCCTCTTACATTATTTTCACAGTTTATAGTTCTACTTTTTGGGGAAGAAAATGGATAAAGGAATTAGACAATCTTGGCCAATACTGAAGTCCTAGCTTCATTTTTATGTATCCTATCCATTATAAAATAACTTGGGTTATCTTTCTTTTTATTTACTTATTTTTCTAATTTCAACTCTTATTATAAATTAAAGTGTACATGTGCATGAGTAAATTGCATAACAGTGAGGCTTCAGGTCCCAATGATCCCACATCCAGACCATAAGTATAGTACCCAACAGGTGGTTCTTCAGCCCACACCCCCTCCCTCCCTCCCACATCTAGTGAGCCCCAGTGTCTGTTGTTCTTATCTTTGTGATCATGTGTATTCAATGTTTAGTTCCCACTTAAATGTGAGACCATGCGGTATTTGGTTTTCTGTTCTGGCATTAGGTCATTTAGGAAAATAGCCTCCAGCTGCATCTATGTTGCTGCAAAGGACATGATTTTATTCATTTTTATGACTGCATAGTATTTCATGGTGTATATGTACCACATATACTTCACTGTTGATGGGCACTTAGGTTGATTTTATGACCTTGCTATTGTGAATAGCACTGTAATGAATATATGGCTGCATGTGCCTTTATGATAGAATGAATTATTTTCCTTTGGGTATATACCCAGTAGAGGCATTGCTGGGTCAAATGGTAGTTATATTTTAAGTTCTTTGAGAAATCTCCAAGCTGCTTTCCACAGTGGCTGAACTAGTTTGCATTCCCAGCAACAGTGTATTTTATTTTCTCCATAGACTGAGGAGAATCAGTTCTGGTTTTTTCTTTTGTTTTGTTTTTTTGTTTTGCCTTTTTAATTATTGCTATTCTGACTGGTGAGAGATGGTATCTCATTGTGGTTTTGATTTGCATTTCTCTGATGACTAGTGATGTTCAACGTTTTTTTCATGTTTGTTGGCCTCTTGTATACCTTCTTTTGAAAAGTGCCTGTTCATGTCTTTTGCCCATTTTTATTTAGACTGATTTTTAGCTTGTTGATTTGTTTAAGTTCCTTGTAGATTCCGGCTGTTAGACCTTTGTCAGATGCATATTTTACAAATATTCTCTCCCATTCTGTAGGTTGTCTTTTTATGCTGTTCATAATTTTTTTTTTTTGTTGTGCAGAAGCTCGAGTTTAATTAGGTCCCATTTATCTATTTTTGGTTTTGTTGTGATTGTTTTTGGTGAGTTAGCCATAAATTCTCTGCCAAAGCCAATGTTGAGCAGGGTATTCCCTAGGTTTTCCTCTAGGATTTTTATAGTTTTCAGTCTTACATTTAAATATTTAATCCATCTTGAGTTAATTTTCATATGAGAGGTAGGGTTCAAGTATCATTCTTCTGCACATGGCTAGCTAGTTATTCCAGTGTCATTTATCGAACAAGGAGTCCTTTCCTTATTTATTATTTCTGTTGATTTTGTCAAAGATCAGACAGTTGTAAGGTGTGCAGCTTTGTTTCTGGGTGCTTTATTCTGTTCTACTGGTCTATGTGTCTGTTTTAGTATCAGTACCATGCTGTGTTCGTTACTGTAGCCTCATAGTATAGTTTGAAGTCAGGAATGTGATATCTCCTGTTTTGTTCTTTTTGCTTAGGATTGCTTTGGATTACTTGTCTTTCTAAAAGTCAATTCATGTATCTTTTATGATTAAAGCCTCTTAATCTTTTCCTATATAGGGACCAGTCACATCAAAATCTCCTGGGATATTTGCCAAAATGCAGATTTATTGGTCTTACACACAAAAATGAATGAGATTCTTTGAGGAAGCACAATTTTACTGAAGTTCTGTTATACTGACATTTTAAAAATTACAACAGTTGTATCAGAAATCTAGAGCACAAAATAAGATTGGTAAACCTTAATTACTCATCATTTCTAAATACTGACTTGCACTAAAAGAAAATAGTAAATGAAATTATGCAGTACTGATTGAGATATTTTATATAAATTATAATTCAATTGATCAAATTAATTGGGTTGATTAGATGTAGAAAAATCATATTTTATGAATTATTTTGGAGTCACTTTTAAAACTGAGAAAACTGCCCATGGATTATATGGTGTGCTGAGTACTACATTATAATTAAGATTACATTTGCAGTATATGTAAATATTATGATCTTGAAAAATGTCCTTTGAGACAATGTAGTCCTATCAAGGTTCAGTTTTGCCAGCTTTACAAATATGGCAATTTTCTCAATGGCATTTTTACTAACAGCACAAGGGGAAACCCATTTGCTGCTTTAAATGAAAGATTACTTACTGCTCTTTTTCTAGAACACCCTGTAATCCAAGGCACAGTAAGGTTTCCTGAAATCTGTGAAAACAATAAATGGAATCTCAGTAAGCTATTTATTGACAGTACTTGGAATGTTGATCAACACCAAAGATTTCACACACTATTTCAAGATAAATCTGCATTCAGAACATATTCCCCACGTATAAAATGTTGTTTCCTTATTGAACTCAACAGATTTTAAGGGGTCTTTTTTGGTGAAAAAAATTGAAAAGTGGGGCAGACTTCTGGGAATTCAAAAGAAAGGTTCTAAGGCATTGTTGGGGGCCCTACGATTGTTGGGACTCTGTTGCAAGTTTTAAAATCTATAGATAATACATTTGTTATAATAAAAATTCAATGCTTTTTGAAGTGAAGAAGTTACAAGAAGTATAGAATAGAGTAGGCCCCCGTATCCACAGATAATATACTCTGAGACACCCAGTGGATGTCTGAAACTGCAGAGAGTACTGAACTCTATATATACTACATTTATTCTTATACATACATGCTTATGAAAAAGTTGAATTATAAATTAGTTAAGAAATGAACATAATAATAAAATAAAACAGTTATGACAAAGTACTGTAATAAAAGTTATGTGAATGTGGCCTTTCTCGAAATATCTTATTGTACTGCACTGCAAGTTACTGTAACCATGAAAAAGAAAACCATAGATAAGGGAGGACTACTGTAGTCATATTTTAAATAGGGCTTTACCACAAAGCAAGAGATGACTTCATAATGAATGATGTGCACTATAAACTACTTAAACACATTACCTCTATTTACTTTGTAAACTCAGCACTGACTAATGGATTTATTGCTACATGTGTTTTCTTAATACAAATCTTAGACCTACAGTATAAATGACTGAAACAATGTTTCTCCAAATAGTGGCCTCAATAGAAGTCTATTCACTATGCCCTATACTCTTTCTTGCAAAATGGTGAATTGTATATTTTAATAAGCCCATTTGTTTAATGAAATATTCTCTTTGCATAAATAATGTATGACTGAAAAAGAAAAAGTAAACCTTTAATCATTATTATATATACATCAAACCTCTCTAGATAAAAATGTGTTTGATAAAATTTGTTCTTTTTGAATTATGTCCCAGTGTCTAGTTTTGGTAGTAAAGTTTAGCAATGTTGCAATCTTGAGGAGATATTTCTTGCATATTATACAAGTATTTTATACTTGAGCAAATACTTTCTGATAATTTCCCAGAAATGGTGAAATATGTTGACCTTTACTAATGGGGCAGGGTATTGTGGTAGTTATGGATATATTCAAGTTCAATACATTCTCATTTACCTAAGTACTCACACCCAAAATTGAAATAATCTTCCTACAAATCCTATTCAACTGTATGGTAGTCCTTTTTTAGGTAGAAACCACTAAGACAAATGGCCAGTAACACCTTATTACCTCAGCATTGCTACACAGGTAGACAGATGCTACTCTAATGGGATTTTAGGGAGCATTTACAAAGACAAAGTAGTCTGTTACCTGTGGTTCAGGTTAGTCTGGACTTAACTATGCTTTATCATAGGACACACAAGAATTGGGGTGTACTTCTCACTTGCTCTTTCCTTCCCTTCCAAACAGATACCTCCTGAGAGACTGACAAGGCAAATCAGTCTCAGTAGGTCATTGAAGTGAGAACAAGGCATTCAATAAAATATTTAATGTTTTTCATAAATTATAAGCAGTAATGACCTAAATAGTATTATGCCTATTGACAAGGAGTGATGATCAATGTGAATAGTAAATTAATATTCTCAGTTATTCAAACTTCAGGTAAGCTGTTACTATTCCTGGCCACCAGACCTGCCATTTTACTTTGAGTTACAAGTATGCCAAAATGCAAGGAATAAGCTAAACATGATATAAACTCCAAATAATACTTTTAAGGAAAAATAAAAAATATTTTTACTCAAGATAAAATACTATTACAGTAAAATAGCAATTAACTGGAATGCTAGGGGTTAATGAGAAGGTGTGAATAATTGATTTTTTAATGATGAGCTGAAGGTGATAGGAAATTTATTCTCAAAAATTATTCAAAATGTATTTTTTCTTTTTATCCCACCAATGTGTGTTAGGGTTTGAAAATTCATTGTTAGCCTCAGTGAGGGAAATACATCCGCTTAAATAATATAATATAATCTAGAAAAAATATAGATACCAAGTGTTTTGGATTATCTGTTCACATATTCTTTTCCATTAGTAAAATAATTCAAAATTGACCATATAGAATTTCTAGAAAATATATGATAAACCAAATGAATTACAAACAAAACAAAACTTTAAACCAGTAACTGCTAAAATATTACATATGAAATGATAAAGATGATACAACAAACATTGTAATAGAATTTGTATAAACACTGACTATACATTTGAGAAATATAAAATGTGGTTTTCTGTTTAAGTCAATTGTGTGTAAGGAAGAAAATACAAAACTCCTATAAGCACATAGTATGCAAATATTATAAATTCCATCTGATTTTGGAAGAAGTTTCACTTTTTTGTTTTATAATTCTGTGTCAGCAGTTACATGATACTCAAATGTTATATTTAACTAATCTCTCACGTTTACTTCAAATCCATTGTTCAGTTCATTACATTTCTGGTAGAACTCAGGAACAGCTGGTCAGAGTAATTGAATTTGTAGGCTTTTTTGAATAAATGTCTTTCCTCAAATTTGGGAAGCTTTATTTGGTGAAATATTGATGGTATATTTCTCATTCACCAAAAGCTATGAAATGCAATATTCAGATTAGACGGGTAATACACATCTCACTTAAATGATATTTCAATTCCAAACTCACTTTAAACAGACTGGTTTGGAAAACTATGAAATAAATCTTCAACGAGATGAGACTGATTTAACAAATATATTAGAACATACACATCCAAAAGAGTGCTGTACATTTCCAAGTAGAAAATTTGGAGTGTTATAAACTCATTACAATGATGTTGACATTATTCAAAGCATTCTGGGAACTTTCCTTTTAGAATTATCAGTTCATGCCTCACCCAGAGATTTTGTCTCATTGCACTCCTTTTATTTTAACTGAAAATATAACAGCCCCAATTGAACATTCATATTAGTCACTAAACGTGGCTTAGAATAAATTCTGGCTATTTTTTAAAATCAAATGTTCCCTCAAATGAGAATTATTTGTCACTACTGAAGCACTTAAAAAAGTTCCGCCAGCTCCTAAAGCAATTGTGAAAGAACTTCAAAAACTTTTGACAAAATCGAACATTACTGAAATAAGTATATATAACTTTCCAGTCAGGTATTTCTTCTATATGTGGTGCTGTTTTAGAGTGCTACAGGAAATAAAAGATCAGTAAAAGATAATTTCCTGGGTAGCAAGAACTATTGCTTGAGAGTAAGAGATAAGACAGGTACATGAATGTCTTTACTACAAAGAAAACTGTTAAATGTCACAAGGGAGGTACAATAAATAAAGTGCAACAAGAGCTCAAAATATGACAAAATTACATCTACTTGTGAATTGATAGCTTAATCTTAAAAGATGTGTAGAACTCTAACAGAAATAAAAAACATCAGCCTTTTAGGGGAAAAAAAAGAATGGCATGAGCACGGTGGAATAAAAAGACAGGATGTATTTGGGGAATGGTCAGTTCAACTAGAACTAGAAAGGGGAGTTAAGGTCCCTGTGTGGAGATCATGAATGGCAAAGTGCATTTATATCTAATTCTGTAGAAAATAGGTAGCCATTGAGGGCATTCAAACAGACGTATGGTATGATCAGAAATGTATTTTTATACAGTACAAATCTTAGATGTCTATGTGTGTACAGTAAATTAAAGAAGTACAAAAACTATTATAATAGTTTGGAAGAGAAGTAATTCAGGCTTGGAACCAGGGTAAGGAGGTAGGAATTAAGAAGAGAAATATAAGGCACACTACTGAAGAAAGGCCTTATGTGTAAGATAGAAGAGAACTAAATAGTCTGGAGATAATGGAAATAGTCCTGTTATGGCTAACTGCTTCCCAGAGTGCCTGGTCTGCTGGAGCTAACGGAGAATTGCAACTTTAAAAGTAAATGAAAGAAAGTGTACTTACTGTTGGAAATCTGCATCTCATGGCTAAGAGTGGATACACAACGAAAATAATGCACTTATTTAGATGTATACTGGAGTCACATCAAATGTATACTTAAGGTTCGTGAATTCAACTATAACACACTTGCCAGTCTCATGTAAAATCATACTTTAAATAGACTCTACATATCAAGATATCAATTATATATGATATGTCTTCATTACTGTACATGGTTGTACATTCATAAGAAGGCATGCAAATAGTTAAGTTTTATAGATGATTTAGGTATTCTTAAAGGAATTTTTGCTGTTTTATTTTACACAATTTAGACCCCACATATGAATCCGCTTTAATGTTTCTGCTAGATTATTAGATTGTCAAGAGCAAAATACCAAGTTTTAAAAATTTATTCTAATTATTTTATGTAGTCACACAGAGATTATATGTTAAAAACATTCATTTGATTTCAAAAATATGTTGTAAAGACAATTCTATGTATATGTTGAACATCCTATTTTAAAAATCTGAGACCAACTTATGAGGCTAGAAAAGCTACTATCTGATATATACTGCATTTTATGTGAGCCAGGAAAATGGAGTATTTGATTACTTAGCATTTTGTTAAATGGTATTTGATTAAATGAAGCAATCAAGAAATAACCAGACCTCTCAAAAGAATTCAGCAGTAAGAGACTCATAAATCAGTGTTTTAGCTTTCCATCAGTTGTTTTAGTATTAGCTGAGCATAGAAACCTATCAATCACTCTGCTTTAATAGGCAGAGTTTCCTAATTTTTTTTTTCAACTATGAGGTGTACAGCACAGAGAACATTGCTGGGCATATGATAGCACTCAATAAATATTTACTGATTGACTAATTGAATTAACTTGGGCATTTATTATTCACTAGCTGTAATTTGCTGAAATTTAACAAAAAGCCAAGAGTGACAATATATATGAGACTAATGCATGGGGTAAGGAGCTGTGGAGGAGGGGAGTAAATTATTTATGATTGAGAACAATGTGTTCTGGAGCAAAGAAAAAAAGATGTCTTGGTGTATATAAAATATTTTCCTCTTTTCTCTCTACAAAGTCTTCAGAAAAGTTTTCAGAAATTAGAATGCCTTTACAAATTAAAGTTTCAATGCTACAACTTTTGGATAAACAACTAACATATTTTTAAGCATATGAATTTTTCTTCTATTATGTGATAGAAATCTGGTGCTTAGAAAACTATTAGCCTGGAAAGTTCATCTAATTGAAAACCAAAATGCTATTTGAAATTTGTTTTTATACATAGTAGTAAAATTTTACAAACTACAAGAAATTAAAATCAGGGAAACTAGAATTCTAAGATGTTTCAGAATTATAAAATTCTAAGATGTTTCAGAATTATAAAAGGTACTCAGATGTAACATTACAAACCAAATTCGTCCTACTGATTCTTGAGATATTCCCTGTTAAAAATAATGGAAGATAAAAATAAAATAATGTAAGTTAATATGTGGAATGTTTATCTTCTTATCCAAAGGCACTAAAGAATAAACAATCACAAATCTAGAGCCCCTAAAATTATGTTCTCTAGCATATTGTAAATAAAATATTATATTAATTCTACTCAGGTAAAAAAATAGAAATTTGGGAAATAAAAAAGCTCTTTACTAATTTCAGAATATAAATTGTCAATGTTAGCTTTAAATTCTAAATACATTTATATAGTTGAAATGAAGCAGTGTATTACATGCACATTCAGAGATCAGTTCATCAAACAACAAAAGATTTATTGCTTTTGTCAGGCTACCCATATTTACTGGGCTGGAATAGAATGGTTACCATGAATCACAACTCTGTATCTTTTCTTTGCATATGACTACATGTTGAACCAAAAGATAGGTTTTTAAAATAAATCAAACACAATGTCTGTTTGTTGCATTAACACTGTATGGACTGATACATTTATTCTGTAATTAAAAAAAAAACCAGCAGAAAGAAGTAAGCAAGATGAAGGCCTAGGTAGCTATAGATCCTTGTCCTCCCATGTAAATATTAAATAAACAACTAGTGACTAGTTGAAACAACTTTATACTAGTTCTTGAAACCATATTCACAGCAACCAATTGAGTGTACAATCAAGAAAATGTCACATTCAAAATAGTAGGAGATTTCACAGTGTTTTTATTTGCCTTGTTGCACCCTTTCCTGGTATGGCAGGGCACAGTTTGGGGGAAGTGTGGTGGCCTGATCCCCAGTCTCTTCTGTGAGTAAGAGAGTGTGAGGTGGACTGAATTTGCAACATTTTAATCTGTCTGGGGTCTGCCTGAGGAATTTGTCTCTTTATCTCCTAATTTGGAGTTTAGACAGCCAATAGTGGCACATCTCAGATCTCAGGCTAGTGGAATTGGTGAGAAGCAGTGAACAAAGCTCATGAAAACCTCAGAGAGACTGAAGACCCATGGACCCTTGGGGAAAGAGATTACTAATTGAGGAATATATAGAGCAGCTAAGGGTTCTGGAAGATGCCGGAATGACACTAGAAAATCTAGATATTTTAAAGTAGCCACATAGAGCAGGGGCTTCAAGATGGCTGGCTAGAGACATCTGGTATTCACCTCCTCCACAAAGAAGAAACAAAACAGCAAGTAGATAATCACACTTTGAATAGATCACCTAATAGAGAAGGCTGGAATTCAACAAAGAAGTGACAAAACACCTAAGGCAAGGAAGGAGAGGGGAGCAAAGCAGCCTACTGGGCCAGTGGGAGCTAAGAGCCTAGAGAGGTTCCCCAATACAAGTAAAGAATAAGCGAGTGACACCCAGTAGTACACATTTCTACCATGGATTCCTGCAATCTTAGCCAATGGAAAGTGCCTCAACTCACTTAGGCCCTGAAACTAACAAAGGAAGCTGCTTGAAGATGAGGTGACAGCATTGCTCCAGAGAGGGAGCTCACACCAGGTCCCCCCCACACACCAAGTCCTAAACAGTTACACCAAGATGCCACTTTGAGAGGCCAGTCCCTACCGGATTGCTTCCTGCCCTGCCTCTCCAACAGCTCCTGCATCTCCGAATCCCTGAAGCCTAATTGTCATCATCCACATGAATCTGGGCAGTGATGCTGACTGCTACCACCAGGGCTGAAGCACAACCCATTGGCTGTAATCCTTCTGCCTCTAGTATCAGGGCTGCCTCACATTTAATAGCACCTTGAGAAAAGGCTGCCATACTTACAACTCCCACCTGTGACTGAGATGCCTGCTACCCAGCCACCTGTTCAGGATGCTGCCACTGAAAACAATCTCACCCTCCCCAGTAGCAGAGCTGCAGCACAGCCACTGCTATCCCCACCAAGCATTCTGTAAAAGCCTGGCAATCACCATGCTCCAGCCTACCACAGCCAGTGCCTGCATACACCATTGAGGGCTAGAGGACAGGCCTTCCTGGCTCAGCTTCATCCATCCCAATGCCTGAGCACACTGTCAGTGCCTGTAGGTTACCCCGCCCCATCCACCACATTTGGCACTACTCTTGAGTGCCTGAGGACAGGTCCACCCAGCCCATCACAGCCACTGTCAACAGCAGGATGAACTGTGTGGGAGACAGAGGATTGTCCTGCCATGGCTGCTGTCATCACTCAGGCCACATTGCTGCTCAGGGTCCCAAGGACTCACCCACCCATCCAGGACATGGCCAGCACCTGAGGAAGCTGGCTGGAGGCCCAAGAATCACCACAACTGTATCTGTTAATACCAGTGCCAGAGTATACTGCCCTGGGGCCCAAGGACAAGCAGACTCAGCTTGCCACAGCCACTGAGGCCCATCTGAATGTCTCTGTTCCCAGCAAAACTTCAACATAGTCTCCACTAAAAATCACACCCTAAGCACTGAGAAAATGACAGACACTACTGATGCTGTTTACAGGTGAGGAAATCATGCAAGGACTATGCTAATGGACACACCGAGAATGAAAGCCAAAGTGCCCTACACAACAAACACCATAGATACATCTTCAGGAAAAAGTGCTCCCCTACAAAAGGAAATTAAAAATATTGGAAGAGGCAACTGTTATACCAGATGCTCAGATGTCAATGAAAATACATAACATGAAAAGACAAGGAAATATGATACCTCTAAAGGATCACAATATTTATTCAGCAACAGATTATATTCAAGAAGAAATTAATGAAAACCAGAAAAAATAATTTAAAATATTGATTATAAAGCAGCTCAGGGAGATACAAGATAATTCAGAAAAATAATACAAAGAAATCAGAAAAACAATTCAGGATATGAAAGAGAAATGTACTAAAAAGATAGATATCATTTAAAAAAGAAATTCTGGAAAAATTCATGGAATCAAATAAAAAATCTAAAAAATTCATGGAATCAAATAAAAAATATATTCAAACTTCAACAATAGATCACACCAAGCAGAAGAACGAATTTCAGAATGGGAAGATAGGTCTTTTGAAATAACCCAGTCAGACAAAAAACAAAAGATAAAAAAGAATGAATAAAGCCTACATGACACACAGAATACCATAAAGTGTCCAAATATTTAATTTTATTGTGTCCAAGAAGGCAAAAAAAGAAAAAAGTCAAAGCAATAAAAAACCTATTTAGTTAAATAATGACTGAAAACTTCAAAAGTCTACCAAGAGATTTATGCATCCAAATGCAGGAAACTCAGAGATCCACAAAGAGATACAATGCTAAAAGGTCTTCTCTATGGCATAATACAGTAAAACTGTCAAAAGTCAAAGGCAAAGAGAGATTCTGAAAACAGCAAGAGAAAAGTATCTAGTCACCTTTATAAAACCCACATCAGACTAACACCAGATTTCTCAGTAGAAACTTTACAGGCCAGGAGACAGTGGAATGGTATCTTCAAAGAGCTGAAAGAAAAACAACCCTGCAAGCCAAGGATATTATACTCAGTAAAGTTATTCTTCACAAATGAATACGAAATAAAGTATTTCCCAGACAAACAAAAGCTGCAATTCACCACCACTAGACTCACCCTGAAATTGTTTAAGGGAGTCTGACATGTTGAAGTGAAAGACAATACTAGCATCATGAAAACACATGAAGGATAAATCCCACTAGAAGAGCAAACACACACATGAGAAAGGGAAAAGACTCCAATGTTACCGTTACAGAAAACTATCAATTACATTTGTAAACAATAAAAGTAAAAGGAAAGAACAATCCTCAGCAAACTATCACAAGGACAAAAAACCAAACACCACATGTTCTCACTCACAGGTGGGAATTGAACAATGAGAACACATGGACACAGGAAGGGGATCATCACACACCGGGCCTGTTGTGGGGTGGGGGGAAGGGGAGGGATAGCATTGGGAGATATACCTAATGTTAAATGATGAGCTAATGGGTGCAGCACACCAACATGGCACATGTATACATATGTAACAAACCTGCACGTTGTGCGCATGTACCCTAAAACTTAAAGTATAATAAAAAAAAAGGAAGGAACAAAGGATATTATTAAAAACCACCAGAAATCAACTAGTAAAATGACAGGAATAAATATTCACATATCAATTATGATTTTGAATATAAATGAATTAAACTTTCCACTTAAAATATATAGACTGGCTAAATGGACAACAACAAAAAAAACCATCACTCCACTATATACTGCCTACAAGAAAGCAATCTCACCTATAAAGGCACATATAGACTGACAGTAAAGGGATGGAAAAAAATATTCCATGCAAATGAAAACAAAACAAGAGCAGGAGTAGCAATACTTAGATAAAACAGACTTTAAGTAAAAAACAATAAAAAGAGAAAAGGAAAGTCATTATACAATGATAAAGGGATCAATCCAGCAAAAGGATATAAAAATTCTAAGCATATATGCCCCCAACACCAGTGCACCAAGATATACAATGCAAATATTATTAGATTGGGGAAAAAAGAAGAGACTCCAACACAAGCGTAGTTAGGAATTTCAACTCCCCACTTTCAGCATTAGACAGATCATCTAAACAGAAAGTTAACAAAGAAATACTGTATTTAAACCATAAATTACATCAATTGGACTTAAAACACATTTACAGAATATTTCATCAAATGGCTACAGAATACACATTCTTCGCAACAGCATATGGAACATTCTCCAGTACAGACCACGTGTTAGGACACAAAACAAATCTCAACAACCACTTTTTTAAATTACAACTATATAGAGTATCTTCTTAGACCACAGTGGAGTTAAACTAGAAATCAGTAACAGGAGGAACTTTGGAAAACTTACAAATACATGGATATTAAACAACATGCTTCTGAAAAAGAGGGAAGAAATTAAAGAGAAAATTTTTTAAAAGTATTAAAACAAATGAAAATTGAAACAAAGCATACCAAATATAGGTACAGCAAAAGCAATGCTAATGTAAAAGTTTAAAGCAATAAACGCCTAGATGAAAAATTTAGACAGAATTGTATTAAATGAATTAACTTCAAAAATGAGTAAAACACCAACAAACCAAACACAAAATTAATAGAAATAAAGGAATAATAAATATCAGAGCAGAACTAAACAAAATAGACACTAAAAATATATAAACTATCAACAAAATGAAAAGTTGCATTCTTAAAAGATAAACAAATTTGATAAACTGCAAGCTAGACTAACCAAGAGAAAAAAAGAAGACATAAATAAATAAAATCAGAAATGAAAAATAGACATTGCAACTGATACTACAGAAATACAAAAGATCATCAGAGACTATAAAGAACAACTATACACTAGCAAACTAGAAAACCTAGAGGAAATGGATACGTTTCTGGACACAAACAACCTACTAAGATTGAATTTAAAAAGAAATAGAAAACCTGAAGAGACCAATAAAAATTACTGAGATTGAATCAGTAACAAAAAAAAAAATTCTACCAGAAAAGAAAAGTCCAAGACTGAATGACTTCACTGCCAAATTCTATGAAACTTACAAGGAAGAAGTAAAACAATTTCCCCTGAAACTATTCCAATAAAATTGAAGAGGTGGGAATTTTCTCTAATTATATAAGGCCAGCATTACCCTGATACCAACACTAGACAAGGATGCAAAAAAAAACAAATATTTTAAGCCGGTTACCCTGATTAATACAGATGCAAAAACCCTCAAGAAAGTTCTAGCAGAATGAATTCAACTGTACATCAAAAAGTTAATACAAAATGATCAAGTGGAATTCTTCCCAGGGATGCTAGGATGGTTCAACACATACAAATCAATTAACATGACACATCATATCAATAAAATGAAGGACAAAAGCCTTGTTGTCTCAATAGATGCAGAAAAGCATTTGATAAAATTCAGGATCCCTTCATGAGAAAAACAACATAGTGGGCCCAGAAGGAATGTACCTCAACATAACAAAGGACAAATATGAAAACCAACAACTAACATCATACTGAATGATAAAGGCTGAAAGTCTTTTTCTGGGAACTGGAAGAAGATAAGCATGCCTATTTTCACCTCTCCTAGTCAACATAGTAATGGAAGTCCCATCCAGAGTAATCAGGCAAAAGAAAAAATAAAAGGCAGCAACATTGGAAAATAAGTCAAATTTTCCCTCTTTGTAGATGACTTGATCTTCTCTCTAGGAAAAACCGGAAAATCCACCAAAATAATTCTTAAATCAGATAAATTCAGTAAAATTGGAGACAGAAAATCAACATATTATAATAAGTAGCATTTCAATAATCCAATAATAAATTAGCTGAGGAAAAAAAATCAATAAGGCAATGCAATTTACAATAACTACAAAAAATAGCTAGGAATAAATTTAACCACAAGGGCAAAAGAATTCTACAAGGAAAACTACAAAACACTAATGAAAGAAATTGAAGAAGACACAAACAGAAGGATCTCTTAAGCTCATTACAAAAAAAAAAAAAAAGTCAGCTGAAAGCATCTCATTACCTGACTTGAAAATACATGACAAGGACAAATAGCATGGTACTGGTATATAAACAGACATGTAGAGCAATGGATCAAAATAGAAAACCCAGAAATAAATCCACAACGGGAATAAGGCAATAGGACAGAGGCAGTAAGAATGTGTGTTAGAGAAATGATGCCCTCTTCAATAAATGCTACTAGGAAGATTGCATATCCATATGAAGAAGAAGAAACTAGACTCCTGTATATCACAATATGCAAACATCAACTCAAGATAAAACCTTAAACATAAGACTCAAAAATATAAAACTACTGGAAGGAAACATAGGGGAAATACTTCAAGCCATTAGTGTAGACAAAGATTTTATGGCTAAGACCTCAAAAGAAAAGGCAACAAAAACAAAAATAGATAAAAGGGACTAAATTAAACAGCTTCCCCATAGAAATGGAAACAATAGAGTGGATAGAAAACCTGTTGAATGAGAAGAAATATTTGCAAACTCTTCATCTGACAAGGGACTATTCATTCAGCATACACGACAGACTCAAACAACTCAACAACTAAAAGACAATTTCATCAAAAATTGGCTAATTAGAGAAAGGCAGTGCAAACTGGCCAATTAGAAGGAACAATTGTCCTCCGCTCAAGAATACCAAACTGAAGAATGATCCACACACACACACAAATCTTCATAAGAACTAAAAATCAGGTTATCAATCACAGTACTTGGCTTTAACTTAATATCACTGAAAGAGGCAATGAAGAGGATTGGAAAGACAGTCTTTAATAGCTGACACCATACCTCCCCCAACCCCAGCAGGATCCATGTGGTGCAGAGAAAAAGTCTGTGCACTTAGGGGAAGGAGAGTACAGTGATTGTGGGACTTTGCATTGAAAATCAATGCTGACCTGTCAGCAGAAGAGAACAATGGGCAGAATTCATCTGGCATGCATGGAGGGAGTATTTAGACCAGCACTAGCCAGAGGGGAATCACTCATCCCAAGAGTAGGAACTTGAGTTTTGGCAAGCCTCACCATTGAGGGCTAAAGTGCTTTGCAGTAGTAAGTAAACTTGAAAGACAGTCTATGTGACAAGGATTGCAGTTCCTGGGCAAGTCCTGGTACTGTGCTGGGCTCACAGCCAGTACACATGGGCTGCATATGACCTAGTGAGACAACAGCCAGGGCAGCCAAGGGAGTGCTTGTGCCAGCTGTCCCCCAACCCTAGATAGTACAGATTGCAGCTGTGGGAGCGACACCTTCCCTTCACTTGAGTAGAGAAGAGAGAAGAGTAAAGAAGACTTTGTCTTGCAACTTTGATAACAGCTCAGCCACAATAAGATAGTATCCAAGGAAGAGTCTTGAGGCTCCTATTCCAGGGCCTAGCTCCTGAACTACATTTATAGACACACTCTGGGCCAAAAGGGAACCTGCTGCCTTGAAGCACACAGTCCTGGCAGGATTTATCAGCTGCTGACTGACGTGCCCTTTGAACCTGAGTTGTCAGCAGTGGCAGCCAGGGAGTACTTGCTATGGTACTTGGGTAAGATTCAGATGTGCTGGCTTCAGTTGTGAACAAGCACATTCCCAGCTGTTGTGGGCATGGGGAAAGACACCTTCTACTTGAGAAAAGTAGAGGAAAAAGTAAAGGAGACTTTGTCTTGCAGCTTTGGTACCAGCTCAGCCACAGTGGAGATAGAGCACCAAGCAGGTTCTTGGGGTCCCCGATTCCAGGGCTTGGCTCTTGGATGGAATTTCTAGATGTGATCTGTGCCAGAGGGGATCCCATTACCTTGAAGGGAGAGTCTCAAGTATGGCAATATTCACCACAATATAACTGAAAAGTACATTGACCTTGAGTGAACACTGGTAGTAGCCAGGCAGTCTTTGCCACGGGCCTGAGGTGGTGGCGGCCAAGAGGTGAGACACCTCTGCATGTGGAAAAAGTAGGGAAGAGTTGACAGGACTTTGTCTTGTGGCTTGGGGGCCAGTTCGGCCACAGTAGAATAGAACACCAACTAGATTCCTAGGTTTTCCAACTCTGGGCCCTCTCTCTTGGATGTCATCTTTGGACCTGCCAGGGGCCAGGGAGAACTGCCATCCTGAAGAAAAGGACACAAGCCTGGGTAGCACTGATAATTGTAGAGCCTTAAGACCTTCAGCAAGCATAGGCAGTAACGAGGCTATAATTTCCATGGACCTGGGGTGAGATCCAGTACTGTGCTGGTTTCAGGTCTCACCCAGCACAGTCCCAGTTGTGGTGGCCATAGGGATGCTTGTGTCATCCCTTCCCCAGTTCCAGGCGGCTCAGCACACAGAGAGACTTTGTTTGTTTGACAAAAAGTAAGGGAAGAGAACAAGAGTCTCTGCTTGGTAATCCAGATGGTTCTTCTGGATCTTATCCAAGACCACTGAGGCAGTACCTATATGAGTCTGTGAGAGATATAGCATTACTGGGCTTAGGGTGCCACTTATGCAGATATAGCTGCAGTGACCAAGAACAACACCCAAGTTCCTTTGAATACTTGAAAAGCCTTCCCAGAAAGGACAGGTACAAACAAGCCCAGACAGTGAAGACTACATTCACTATTTAAATATCCAATGCTCAGGCACAGACGAACATCCACAACCATCAAGGCCATCCAGGAAAACATGACCTTGCTGAACTAGGCACCAGACACTAATTGTGGACAGACAGAAATATGGGACCTTTCACACTAAGAATTCAAAATAGTTGTTTTGAGAAACCTGAAAGAAATTCAAGATAACACACAGAAGACATTCACCAGCCTATCAGATAGATTTAACAAAGAGACTGAAATAACTAAAGAGAATAAAGCAGAAATTCTGGAATTGAAAAATGCAACTGACATACAGAAGAATGCATCAGAGTATCTTGGGAGCAGAATTGATCATGCAGAATAAAGAATTGGCGAGCTTGGAGACATGCTATTTGAAAATAAACAGCCAGAGAAGACAAAATATAAAATAATACAAAATAATGAAGCATGCCTACACCATCAAGAACATAACCTCAAAAGGGCAAATCTAAAAGATTTTGGCCTCAAAGAGGAAGTAGAGGGATAGGAGTATAAAGTTTATTCAAAGGGATAATAGCAGAATCTCCCAAACCTAGGGAAAGATATTAATATTCAACTATAAGAAAGTTATAGAACAGCAAGTAGGCTTAAGCCAAATAAGACTACCACAAGACATTTAATAATCAAGCTCCCAAAAGTCAAGGATAAAAAAGAATCCTAAAAGCAGCAAGAGAAAAGAAACAAATGACATACAATGAAGCTCCAATACATCTGGCAGAAGCCTTTTCAGTGGAAACCTTACTTGCCAGGAGACAGTGGTATAACATATTTAAACTGCTTAAGAAAAAGAAATTGTCCTAGAATAGTGTATCCAGCAAAAATATCCTTCAAACATGAAGGATAAATAATTACTTTCCCAGACAAACAAAAGCTGAGGATTTCATCAATACCTTATCTGTCCTACAAGAAACGCTAAAGGGAGTTCTTGAATCTGAAAGAAAAAGATTTTAATGAGCAATAAGAAATCATCTGATGGTACAAATCTCCCTGCTAATTGTAAGTACAGAGAAAATCACAGAATTTTATAACACTATTATTGTGATATTTAAAATATTCACATCTTGAGTAGAAAGACTAGAAGACAAACCAATAAAAAATAACATTTTTTATTAGATTTTTCTTTGCTTGCTTGTTTATGCAATCAATGTTAAGTTGTCATCAGTTTCAAATAATGGGATATAAGATATTATTTGAAAACATCATGGAAACCTCAAATTAAAAAGCATACAATGGATACACACAAAATAGAAATGAAAACATAGCACCAGAGAAAATTTCCTTCAATAAAAGGAAGAAAAGGAGAAAGGAGAAAAGAAAGAGAAGACCACAAAATAACCAGAAAACAAATAAAATGGCAGAAGTGAGTTCTTACTTATCAATAACAATATTAAATGTAAATGGACTAAACTCTCTAATCAACAGACATAGGCTGAATGAATAAAAAAGTAAGACCCAGTGATCTGTTGCCTACAAAAAACACACTCCACCTATAAAGACACACCTAGACTGAAAATAAAGACATGAAAAACAAATTCCTTGTTAATGGAAATCAAAGAAAAGCAAGAATAGCCATACTTATATCAGACAAAATAGATTTGAAGACAAAAAGTATAAAAAGAGATAAAGAAAGTCATTATATAATGAAAAGGGGTCAAAACATCAAGAGGCTATAACAGTTGTAAATATATATGCACCAAACACTGGGGCACATAGATATATAAAACATATATTATTTCGGGTAAAGAGACAGATAGACTCCAACATAACATCTAGAGACTTTGACAACCTACTTTCAGCACTGGACAGATAATCCATACAGAAAATCAACAAAGAAACACCAGACTTAATCTGCACCATAGACCAAATAAATCTAATAGTTATTTACAAATCATTTCATCCAGTGGCAGCAGAATACACATTCTTCCCCTCAGCACAAGGATCATTCTCAAGAATAGACCACATGTTAGGCCACAAAATCTTCTTTTTTTTTGGCTATTTTAAAAGTTTATTTTGACATAACTATGCTTACAGAAGTACACACAAAGTATTTAATGGAATGCCATTAACATTTAACTTCTCCTACACAATTTGGACCACAAACTTGGTACATGGTTTACGATTTTTTAAAAAATCACAATGTGGTTTATCTATTACTAATGTATAAAAGACTCTCTATAAAATACTGCTAAAGAAGATTCAAGAACCTTGAGAAATGTACTTTTAGTTCACCTCGGAAAAATAACACATATTGTACTCCATATGTTTATAATACTGGTGCAACAAAACATTGAAAACATAGTTGTAATGTCTTAATGCCAGCATAGAAACTTCAATAACTAATAGATATGGAAGGGAGTGAGAGGGAGCCTATGTACACATTTGAAACTGTAATAAGATATCTGATTTATTTAATATTGCATGTAGATGGTAAGTATACTAAAATCAAAATTTGAGTAATTTCTTCAGTCTGAATTAATACTATGTGCTCTCTTCATCTCATGAGGTCAACAAGAAAATGGGGCATACTAGCTGTAACTTCTTCTGATGTGTGAAAAATCATAAATTATGTTTCTTTCTCAGCTTTTCAGTCCAGAAGTGGCAGTATACTACAGCAAGGTGTTTCTTCCATTGTCAACATTCATAGAGTGACATATAATGTGTACTACAATTTTAATTTGTGTCATCACTCGTGCAAAATGTAACATGCTAACGTTTTGTTTCTTGATCATAAGAAAAAATTCTAGCTTCAATTCTATCCAGTGTGGGGGAGGGGAAATTGGAAAATAAAATCATTCGAACATTTGTGTGCAAATATCACCTTTTTCAAATGGAAGAATTTCCAACTGAACCAGAAGTTCATACTGCTAATACACATTTCATTGAAACATTTTTTAATAAGTACAAATACATGGTATTAAAGTTCAAAACCTAATACAGGCCAGAAAATTAAGTTCTTATTTTCTGAAGAAGGCCTCAAGTCCCAATCAATTTCTAGTAACAATGTTTTTGCAGATCAATTTAATAATAAGGGGTTTTTATTTCCTTCATATTTTTGTTTTGGTCTTAAAGGCTAGATTAAAATTTAGTTCAATCCCCCAGAAAGCAACTGGTTTTACTTTTGCACTATCAAAAAAAAAATCCACAAAAAAACCTCTTCTCCAAACCAATTCCTAAACTGAATCTGTGCTCAAGATGAATCTTTTTCTGTACAATGTAAATGGTTACTTAGGTGAAATGTACCTATGAACATTAAAACCGGTTGTTTGAAAGATTTAGCTAGACTTATAATTTAAGTTTTAAAACATAAATATGTGTAGCTTGATCTTCTGTTGATAGTGATTGTCAGACCCTAGATTTCAATATTTACAAATTCCCATTCATGCACACAAAACATATACCATAATCACATAACTTACTCCTCATAGATTGAGAGATTCTTCTGTTGCTTTAAATCTTTGCCCTTCCAGTCAATTTCAAGGTAAAACAACTTTTAACTCAGACTTCACTCTCAGACTATTAACAAATTTCCACCCACACATTATTAATGCTTATCATGTACCCACACATGATATTTCCTGTTCTACTGGCAAAATCGGAAACCTGCCTCAAAGAGGTCATCAGATTTAAGAAAAATGGACCATAAACTGTTTATTGCAAAATATACTATGAAAGGTCAGAATTCAAGATTCCCTATTGGTGTCATACTTCATTTTACTGCAATGAATAAGTGCTTTCAGAAAAAAAAAGAAAGAAATCTTATGTTGGATTATTTCATACTTTTTAGATACTAGCTAAAGAACCTACAAAAATGTTTTGGAGTATACACCCTACCAAAAAAGTGTTTTAAAAATTCAGAAAATGGAATTATATCAAGTATCTCCTCTGGTCACAATGGAATAAAACTAGAAATCAATAACAAGAGCAAGTCTGGAAACTATACAAACAAATGGAAATTAAACGATATGTTCCTGAACGATCAGTAGGCTAATTAAGAAAATAAAAAGAGGCTGGGCGTGGTGGCTCATGCCTGTAATCCCAGCACTTTGGGAGGCCAAAGAGGGCGGATCACGAGATCAGGAGATCAAGACCATCCTGGCTAACACAGTGAAACCCCGTCTTTACTAAAAATACAAAAAATTAGCCGGGCGTGGTGGCGGGCGCCTGTAGTCCCAGCTGCTCGGGAGGCTGAGACAGGAGAATGGCGTGAACCCGGGAGGCAGAGCGTGCAGTGAGCCGAGATCATGTCGCTGCACTGCAGCCTGGGCGACAGAGCGAGACTCGATCTCAAAAAAAAAAAAGAAAAAAAGAAAAGAAAAGGAATATTTAAAAATTTCTCAAAACAAATGAAAATGATAAAACAACACACCCAAACAATGGGATATAGCAAAAGCAGTATTAAGAGGAAAGTTTAAAGCTGTAAGTGCCTACATTCAAAAAGTAGAGAAAATTTAGATAGACAACTAAAGATGCATTTCAGAGAACTAGAAAAGAAAGAGCAAACAAAACCCAAAGTTATTAGAAAAAAAAAATAAAAATCAGAGCAGAAATCAAGGAAATTGAAATAAAAAATAGTACAAAAGATCAATGAAGTTAAAAGTTGGTTTTTAAAAAATATAAGAAAATTGACAAACCTTTAGCGAGACTGTGGGGAGAAAAGAGAGAAGACTCAAATAAACAAAATCAGAGGTATAAAAGGAGACATTATAACTGATAGTGCAGAAATTCAAAGGATCATTAGAGGCTATAATGAGCAACTATATGCCAATAACTTGGAAAACCTAAAAGGAACTGAAAAATTTCTAGATACATACAACCTACCAAAATTGAACCATTAAAGCATCCAAAACCTGAACAGATCAATAATAAGTAACAAGATTGCAGCAATAACAAAAAGTCTCCCAGCAAAGAAAAGCAAGGGACCTTATCTCTTCACTGCTAAATTTTACCAAGCATTTAAGAACTAATACCATTGCTACTCAAACTATTCCAAAAGATAGACGATAAGAACACACTTCCAAATTCATTCTATGAGGCCAGTATCACCCTAATACCAAAACCAGACAAAGATGTCTCAAAACAAAATAAAACAAAAACTACAGACAAATATTCCTGATGAATATTGATACAAAAACTTCAACAAAATACTAGCAAATCGATCATAAGAACAGATTAAAAAGATCATTCATTATGGCTAAGTTGGATTTATTGCAGAAACTTAAAGATGGTTAAACTTATGCAAATTAACCAATGTGATACATCATACCAACAAAATGAAGGAACAAAACCATATGATCATTTGAATTGATGCTGAAAATGATTTGATAAAACTCAATATCGCTTCATGATAAAAAGAAAAATGATTCTCAAAAACTGGGTACAGGAGGAGCATACCACAACACATTAAAAACCATATATGACAGATTCACAGCTAGTATCATACTGAATGGGGACAAAATGAAAGCCTTTTCCTCAAAGATGTGGAAAACAACCAGAATGCCCACTTTCACCACTGTTATTCAAAATAGTACTGGAAGTACTAGCTAGAGCAATCAACCAAGAGAAAGAAATAAATAAGTTTGAAAGAGGAAGTCATATTTTCTTTGTTTGCAGATGATATAATCATGTATTTGGAAAAATCTAAACACTCTGCCAAAAAACTATTAGAACTAATAAACAAACTGAGTTAAGTTGCAGAATATAAATTCAACATACAAAAATCTGTAGCATTTCTAAATGCTAACAGCAAACATTCTGGAAAGTAATCCCATTTACAATAGCTACAAAAATAATATAATACCTAGGAAATTACTAAAAGATAAGTGAAAGATCTCTATAATGAAAACTATAAAACATTGATAAAAGAAATTGAAGAGGACACAACAGAACTGATAGTCCAAGCTCATGAATTAAAGGAATCAATATTTTTAAGGTGTCTATACTATGTAAAGCAATCTATAGATTCAATTCAATCCCCGTCAAAATACCAATGACATTCTTCACAGAAACAGAAAAAAATCCTAAAATTTATCTGGAACCATAAAAGAACCAGAATATCCAAAGCTATCCAGAGCAAAAAGATCAAAGCTGGAGGAATCACATTACCTGACTTCAAATTATACTACAAAGCTGTAGTAACCAAAATAGCATGATACTGGCATAAGAACATACACATAGACAAATGAAACAGAATGGAGAACCCAGAAACAAATCCATACATCTACAGTGAACTCATGCTTGACAATATTGCCAAGAACATACGCTAGGAAAAGGACAGCCTTTTCAACAAATGGTGCTAGGAAAACTGGACATCTATATGGAGAAGAATGAAACTAGACCCCCATCTCTCACTATATAATTAAAAAAAAAAGTATTAAAAACAAATCTAAGACCAGAAACTATGAAATTACTAGAAGAAAACTTCGGCAAAAATCTCCAGGACACTGCACTTGACAAAGATTTCTTGAGCAATACTCCACAAGCACAGGAAACCAAAGCAAAAATGGACAAATGGGATCACATCAAGTTAAAAAGCTTCTGCACAGCAAAGGAAACAATCAACAAAGTGAAGAGACAACACACAGAATGGGAGAAAAATACCTACAAACTACCTGTCTGATAAGGGATTAATAATCAGAATACATAAGGAGCTCAAACAACTCTATAAGAAAAAAATCTAACAATCTGATTAAGTAATGGGCAAAATATCTGAACAGACATTTCTCGAAAGAAGAAACACAAATTGCCAACAGGCATATGAAAAGGTTCTCCACATCATTAATCATTGGACAATTGCAAATCAAGACTAAAATGAGATATCATCTCACCCCAGTTAAAATGGTTTTTATCCAAAAGACAGGCAATAACAAATGCTGGTGAAGATGTAGAGAAAAGGGAATCCTCATAAACTGCAGGTGGGAATACAAATTAGTACACGCACTATGGAGAAGAGTTGGAGGTTCCTCAGCAAACTAAAAATAGAGCTACCATAAAATCCATCAATAAAGGTATCAGTATTTATCCAAAATAAAGGAAAACAGTAAATTGAAGAGATATCTGCACTCCCATGTTTACTGCAGCACTATTCACAATAGACAAGATTTGGAAGCAACCTAAGTGTCCATCAACAGGTGAATAGATAAAGAAAATGTGGTACGTATACACAATGGAGAACTATTCGCTCATAAATAACAATGAGATCCTGTCATTTGACACAACAGAGATGGAACTGGAGGTCATTATGTTAAGTCGAATAAGCCAGGCACAGAAAGACAAACATCATATATTCTCACTTAGTTGCAGGAGCTAAAATTTAAAACAATTGAACTCATGGAGATAAAGAGGAAAGAGATGATTACCAGAGGCTGGAAAGAGTAGTGTATTTTTTACAATCAAAGTGCAATAAGCCAAAATACCAATGTGGCAAATAAGTATTGTGCTGTTCTTTTGATACTAAAGAAAACAAAACCCAGTAAAGAAGTAGTCAGAACATTCATCATCATAACTGAGTGATACTGTTCTATTAATAAAAAATTAAGAATTTTTTAAAAAATTGGCATCAAAGAGAGTAATAAACTTAGAAAAAAATTAATGAAATAGAAATTTTCTCTACTGAAAAGTACATAACATTCTTGAAAGAAATTTGAACAGATGTAATGAGTGAAAAATCATAACTCATTCATGGATCAGAAAACATAATATGAAGTATTAATGCATGCTATGACATGAATGAAACTTAAAAACATCATACTAATTGAAAGAAGCCAGTCTCAAATGGCCCATATTATATGACTCCATTTATATTAAAATGCAGAAAAGATAAATCCATAGAGATAGAAAGATTAGTGGTTGCTTGCTTAGTGCCAGGATAGGGGATGCCGTGTGCTAATGGGTATGGGGTTCATTTTTGAGGTGATTAAATGTTCAAAAATTAGACTGTGGTGCTGCTTGAACAACTTTGTGAATATATTAGAAACCACTGAATTCACACTTTTAATGTGTGAATTTTATATTATGTAATATATGTCTTAATCAAATTATTTAAAAGTGATCCCTGCTAACTCTACCCACTCAACACAGATTACAATTACTTTTTTAAAAACTTGAATATTTTCCTGAGAGTCATTTTGACCAAGTCACTCAATCTTACTGGCTCTCATTTTCCTCAGGTAAAATAACATTTGAGTTGGTTTAAATGCCACGATATTTAAAGTTTCTATTGTTATTAAACTTTCGTTTCTTTTTAACAAAAGCACTAAAGTCCACAAGTAATAGAGAAAGTTGGAAGACATTACCAAGGCACTTTTACTAATAGAAATGTATTGTGCTTATAAAGATTTTTAAAGGAAGTTCACCAAAGTGCTTTACTTCTATTAATTCCAAAGACCTTCTAAAATCCATGAGAAATGGGAATGCAATTAATTATCAAGCCACAATAATAACTGAAATGATAAATGTTGTATTTATGGCGCCTTTCTTCCAAAGTGCCCCAATATCTTCACAAAGATGATCATTAATAAATTTTAATCACAACAGCACCCTTGTGACAAGCAGGCAGTTTGACATAGAGGTAATATGAAAAGTGAATGGCACTTTGGAGGGAGACCAATATGATTGTCATCTGGCTCCATGAGTGAGGTTAGCCTGGAGAGTTTTTGAAATGGAACTTCATTGTTCATAGTATCTTGCTATAGTAACATCCTGCCAGTTCCCTTAATACCACTTCAACCCTTAATATTATATTCCCAAGAGGCTCCTAAAGAAAGCTGATTTTAACTTCTTAGTATCCTTTAGGATTTTTTCAATTTGTACTCAGTTTTCTAGATAGTTTGATACTATACTATCCTCCAGAAATAGTATCACGGCTTGAAGATAAGTGGTGTAACACAGAAAAGAGGCAGCTATCTCTGTTATATAGTTTCAGCATGAGAAACTCAAGAGAATTGTTTGTTTTCTTACAGTTTCATAGCAAGAATGTTGACAAAATGGAGAACTACAAACCACTGCTCAAGGAAATAAGAGAGGACACAAATAAATGAAAAAACATTCCATGCTCATGGAAAGGAAGAATCAATATCGTGAAAATGGTCATAGTGCCCAAAGTAATAATGTAGACTCAATGCTATCCCCATCAAGCAACTATCCACTTTCTCCACAGAATTAGAAAAAACTACTTTAAATTTCATATGGAACCAAAAAAGAGCCTGCATAGCCAAGACAATCCTAAGCAAAAAGAACAAGACTGGAGGCATCACACTACCTGACTTCAAACTACACTACAAGGCTACAGTAACCAAAACAGCATGGTACTGGTACCAAAACAGATATATAGACTAATGGAACAGAACAGAGGCCTCAGAAATAACACCACACATCCACAACCATCTAATCTTTGACAAACTTGACAAAAACAAGAAATGGGGAATGGATTCCCTATTTAATAAATGGTGTTGGGAAACCTGGCTAGCCATATGTAGAAAATTGAAACTGAACCCCTTCCTTACACCTTATACAAAAATTAACTCAAGATGATTAAAGACTAAAACGTAAGACCTAAAACCATGAAAATCCTAGAACAAAACCTAGGCAATACCATTCAGGACATAGGTATGGGCAAAGACTTCATGACTAAAACACCAGAAGCAATGGCAACAAAAGCCAAAATTGACAAATGGCATCTAATTAAACTAAAGAGCTTCTGCACAGCAAAAGAAACTATCATCAGAGTGAACAGGCAACCTACAGAATGGGAGAAAATTTTTGCAATCTACTCATCTGACAAAGGGCTAATATCCAGAATCTACAAAGAACTTAAACATATTTACAAGAAAAAAACAACCCCATCAAAAAGTGGGCAAAGGACATGAACAGGCACTTGTCAAAAGAAGACATTTATGCAGCCAACAAACATATGAAAAAAAGCTCATCATCACTAGTCATTAGAGAAATGCAAATCAAAACCACAATGAGATAACATCTCATGCCAGTTAGAATGGTAATCATTAAAAAGTCAGGAAACAACAAATGCTGGAGAGGAAGTGGAGAAATAGAATGCTTTTACACTGTTGGTGGGAATGTAAATTAGTTCAACCATTGTGGAAGACAGTGTGGCAAATCCTCAACGATCTAGAACCAGATATACCATTTGAGCTAGCAATCCCATTACTGGTATATACCCAAAGGATTATAAATCATTCTACTATAAAGACACATGCACACATATGTTTATTGCAGCACTATTGACAATAACAAAGGCTTGGAACCAATCCAAATGCCCATCAATGATAAACTGGATAAAGAAAATGTGGCACATATGCACCATGGAATACTATGCAGCCATCAAAAAGGATGAGTTTATGTCCTTTGCAGGAGCATGGATGAAGTTGGAAACCATCATTCTCAGCAAACTAACACAAGAACAGAAAACCAAACACTGCATGTTCTCACTCTTAAGTGGGAGGTGTACAATGAGAACACATGGACACAGGGAGAGGAACATCACACACTGGGGCCCGTTGGGGGGCGGGTGCCTAGGGGAGGGATAGCATTAGGAGAAATACCTAATGTAGATGATGGGTTGATGGGTGCAGCAAACTACTATGGCAGATGTATACCTATGTAACAAACCTGCACGTTCTGCACATGTACCCCAGAACTTAAAGTATAATAATAATAATAGAAAGTTGACAAAATGACCACAGATTCTAAGCTCTGATCCAAGAGTGTTGGTGATAGAGCTTCAGCAACACCTTGGAGGGTAAAACTCCATGGATTCCACTTCCCCAGGCTGCCTTGATTTTCCAAATATGAACTAACTAAAAAGAAAAGTTGAGGTAAAGTGATTCCCCAGGGCTTCTCCACCATACTCTCTCAAGTCAGGTTGGCTTACACAGGTCTGATATAGTATAACAATGGGCTTTTAATAGTTGTAATGAAGGTGATAACTTACTTCCAGTCTTCTTTAGCCAGTACTACAAGTTTTCTTTCTGTTAACTTGTGATAATTGTGGTCTGTGCAAAATTTTACTTGAAATTGGAACATAAATGAGGCATAGACTAGCAGAGTTTCATTAACTTTCCAACTATGAGTTCATATGTATAAGAAGTTTATGTGCCAGGAAAAGTACAAAGAGCCTTGCATAGATTTTTTTTTCATTTCCTGTCACAAGATTCCTGTGAAGTAGGAATTAGTGCCCACATTATACGAATAAAGAGACTGTTACACAAAGAGGATAAGCCACTGGCTATACCTTCTTATCTGTTCACAAGTAGAAAGTGGCAGAGCTTGAATTTGAATCCAGGTCTGTCCATGCTCTAAGCCTATACTCTAAATTGTTAGGTCAGGTTGCCTTTCTTTTAAGAAGATTATCATTCATACGACAGTTGCTAAATTTTGTTGCAATAAATAAAATAAAAGCAGGTTCTTTTATTTTAAAAAATTGTTTCTTTAAAAGTTCTGTCAGAAAAAAATAGAGACTGTGTAAAGGTAAAATCACAGGTTAAATTATCCTTTAGGGAGTGGTGGGTTTAAAAAATATTTAAATTAAACCTTGCATTCTCAGGTTTCCCAGTAAGTCAAATACAGTTGAAATAGTTATGCTGTATGGTAAAGCAGAAAATATGATAAATAATAAATTGCTGAGTTGGAATTCTGGTTCTGTCATTTACTAGCTATGTAATCCTAGGCAAGCAATTGAAATATGGATAAAATGCCTATCTGTCCAGATCATCATGAAGATTAAATGAGATTGGTTATATAAAGTGACCAAAGGTCCCAGCATATGGTCAGCCCTCAACAAATGGTAAGTGTTATTGTTACTACTATTATTAAGAACAACACTGAAGGGGTAAAGAAGTACAAAAGAGTAGGTGAATGAAGGAGGGGTGTGTAGAGGATCTTAATGGTATGATTCAATGTTACTCTAAGCATGCTTCTTTAAAGGGCACACACATAAAAATGAGTCAATTATCAATAAAGAATGACTGTTAATGATGATGATGGAGTTCTTGTGTTATGGCCAGATGACAGAGGGATGCTTCCTATACTGTATTATTGCTTTTCATTTTCAAGCAGGGAGCTGTAAGATGGAGGGAGCTAAAAGAAGATGGTTCCTTAAACTGGTTCAGAACAGCCTGGAAGCATCTTAAATCCAGACAAATCTTAAGTATTGTGGTTGAAAGGATAGAAAGTGCTAGGCTGGGCCAGTGGCTCACCCCTGTAATCCCAGCACTTTGGGAGGCTGAGGTGGGCGGATCATCTGAGGTGAGGAGTCCAAGACCAGCCTGGTCAACATGGTGAAACCCCATCTCTACTAAAAATACAAAAATTAGCTAGGCGTGGTGGTACACGCCTGTAGTCCCAGCTACTCGGGAGGCTGAGGCGGGAGAATCGCTTGAACCAGGGAGCGGAGGTTGCAGTGAGCCAAGATCACGTCACTGCACTCCAGCCTGGGTGACAGAGCAAGACTCCGTCAAAAAAAAAAAAAAAAGGAAAAGAAAAGAAAAGATAAGAAGTTCTAGCCAGTAGTAAGGAAAAATGGCAACCATCCAAGCTCTGCTATTCAAATTCTCTAAAGCAGATTTTTCAGAGGGAATTATCTATAGGATAAGAGATGTTCTGAGGTAGGCTTACACCTCACTGTTAATGTGATTATTTGAAGCATACCTGAACAATTGAATATATGAAACAGTAAATAAATAACAACTATTTTAAGCACAGGTCTAAAATTGCAATAATTCTTACTCAGAATATGTCTTTTCCCTATAAACATTTTTAAATGACTATTTGACTACTCTCTCACTTAATGTTTTAATAAAGCATTTACATTTCTAAAAAGCAGTTGGCTGAGTTACCATAGCCTCTGACTTATCAGCCATCAGCACCTAAAGAAATTATTGACTTGCCTGGTTATGTACCAGGGAAGCCACCACTCATCTAGTGACAGCTCCCCAAAATGCAACTGAAAACCATTATAGGAATAATCTATGTTCAAGATCATGAGCCCGACCAATTTAACCCTATTTTAGTAATGGGAAATTCCATGCTACCCATTAAGCTCTCATTTCCAGAACAAAATCATTTTAAATGCAGGGAAAGACTGCCATGTTATAAAAATGACTATATTCCATGAAAAAAAGACCTCATCATTTAAAAACATGAGAAACAAAGAACAAGATTCTTCAAGGAGTTAACCCCAAACCACCACTTTGAAGCAAAAATCTCACATTACTTCAATATATGAGTTAAGTGATCCAGGTCCCAAATCTAACTGGATACACACACAGTTTTTAAAACCTTTATAAAATAAATTTACACATTACCTGGTAATTGTTTTGGTTTTGTGATAATCTCAATTGGTTTGATGATGCAAAATGAGGAGAAAAATTACTCCGTAATGGATTGGTATTACTGTACATTGTACTAGATGCTGTATGTAATGAGGTCCGTGGTGTCAAATGGTAGTTTCTGTTTTGATACAGTACATTGTCTGACATATCTCTAATATTCACCATTTGTGAATTTGGCATATTTCTTCCTGGTCCGGGCAAGGTTGTACTTTGGTTCTCAGCTCGAAGGGAACTGCCACTTTCATAAAATCTCGAATAGCTTGGTATCTGTGCTCTCATCGATGCCAGCTCTTCCTCTCTGGCATATTCATCCTCAGCATCTCCAGTCTCCATTGCAATGGACAAACAATTTCCTTCTGCTGAGCTAGGCTTCTGTGGGGCATTTCCTCCCAGAATTCTCTGGGGGTAATCGCTAACTGCCAATGAAAACACTTCACGGATTTCCAAGTTTTGTGTTCTACAGTAAGGGTCTCTAATAGTTGGCTTTTGCCCACATAAGTTATGTAATGCTGGGCCTGTGTGTTCAGGCTTATATGACCTTTGAATCCCAACTGGTTCAATTTTACAAGGTCGGTGGCACACAGAAGGCTTTTGAGGTACTGTCATTTCAGAAGCTTGTACTGAAGAGTTTCCATAGTTTTTCTTTGCGTGATTGAATACTGAGTTTCCAGCATTTAGCACACTTGTCTGTCTTGACAAAATAATTGTTTTTTCACCTAGGAGTAGGGAAGCATTTTTACAGTGTGCTACTTGTCTTTGGACAGGAATGTGTAACTGAAACTCAGTATCATTTTTAGTGGCTGTTTTCTGAATAGGGATTTTATGTGCTTCTGTAATTTGTGTGTCTGTATGTTTGTTTGTTCCTTGCCTACTTGATGAACTGGCTGGACTGTATATACCAGTTACAATGACATCATTATTGGCAGATGTCCAAGAAGACTGCTGGCTTGAGGGTCGAGCAATATTAACCACATTTCTGACTGTGATGTCTGGAGCTGACAAAGAGGTTCCTGTTGTTGCTGTTCCAGATTCAGAGTTCTTACTACTCATCTTTCTTCTCTTATTGCCAACCCACGTCTGGAAGGATAAAACATGGTATTATGAAAAAAAAATTAAAAACAAACGAAGAAAAAACAAATTTTACGTGGTACATTATATTTTCATTTGTCTTGGAACCAAGGTGTACATAAAGGTAAAAGAAAAAGGTAAAATAACAGAAAAACTGACTAAAGTACAAAGGCAAAAGATGATCAGGGACTCACACTTAATAAATACCTTCAAACTTTGAAAACAGAGTGTATTATTGTTTCTCTCCTCATAACCCATCCAACTAATATGTATCAAGAAACCTAAAAATGTTTATACACTTTGACATAGTAAATACATTTGTGGTAATTTATCCTAAAAGTAACCTACAAATGTAGATAAAGTTTATATGCAATGATGTTCATCATATATTTATTTATAATACTGAAAAATTAAAAACATACTAAAGGTAGGCTATTTAATGGCATTAAGAAATGCTCATAGTATTGTTAAACAAATACACATTTGCAATCTTTAGACTCATCAACTTCCATTTTATAAATATATCATAACTTGCTTAATTTCATACTATCAGATTATTTATAGTATTTTTTGAAATATTCTTTCTTATAAGTTATATTGCCATATACCTCATCGTAGATGCATCTTTGTACTGCTGCTCTATTAGAATGCAATACTAAAAGAAAAATTGCTAGGCTCTAATATTTTCAAAGTGCTCTCCAATGTATGAGTTCCGGTTTCCTCACACCCTCACCAAGAGTTTGCCTTATCTTTTTGTAGTCTTTACTAGTCCAGGAGTTAATAAAAAGTGTATAATTGCTGCTTTGACATGAATTTCTATGGTTACAATATTACTTTCATAGAATTGCCTATCCATTACCTTTACCTATTTTTATATTGAGGTGTTTACCTTTTTAAATTGATTTGTATGCAAGAGTAATTTTCTACTAAAGTCAATAATAATTCTTTGTTACAAGCTGCAATTGTTTGTTTTCAGTTTGTCACTAATCTATGGTAGTTATTGTCTTCTTTACATTTTTCTCAACTTACCAAATTTTATACAATAAATATATATTTTGTAAACAGATTAAGATTATTAATAAAAATAATACTAGTGGTTGGTGTTTAGGATTTAATTACAAAATACATATTTTAATGTAAGTAATTTATTATAATTATCTTAGTATTATTTTTCTGAGTCATGGATCTTCTTAAATTATACAATAAGAAATATATTCTATAATGTGATTACTAAACTTTATAATAATTCCAAAATGCATACCATATTATAAACACCAAAGCACATTAATCTATTAAGAATTAAACAGGCCATGCACAGTGGCTCATGCCTGTAACTCCAGCTCTTTGGGAAGCCAAGGCAGGAGGATCGCTTGAGGCCAACATTTTGAGACCAGCATGGGCAATATAGTGGGACTCAGTCTCCACCAAATATTTTCCTAAAAAACGAATTAAAATAAATGAAAAATGAAAACATTAAATGAACTAGCCTTGAACAAACAATAGTTCAGAGTATATTTGTTTAACTTTTGTATGAATGTGTTTTTGAAGACCACATAAATTGTCCAATTTTCAATGTTTACTGTACATCTTATACAATTTATAATTATATACATTAGTGTTGCTGTACTACTGTAAATAAAAGCTAATATGTATTGAATCCCCATTATGTGTTCTCTCAATAGATAGATAGATAGATAGATAGATAGATAGATAGATAGATTTTCATTTGTCTTGGAACCAAGGTGTACATACAGGTAAAAGAAAAAAATAAAAAAACTAAAGTATAAAGGATCTCTAATAAATCTATAAAGGATCTATAATAAAGGATCTATAATAGATCTATCGATATAGAGTATTATTATTTTATATATTATATATATATATATAAACTCCTTTGGTAGGTGTTATTTTTCTAATTGTGTAAATGAAGAAACTGAGGTTCAGAAATAATAAATAGCTTGTGGAAGGGTATTCTGGGGGCAAGTGAGAGAGCAAAGATTCTGTCAATTCTACCTCACCTGAAAGCACATTAAACCTTCCACTACCCTACATGTAGTGGTTAGAAACTCCTGAAAATAGTCATCTCTATTGGCCATTTTATTTTTATAATTACTGTTTCTCCCATAAAGAAAATGTTCCACAAACTGTAGTGTTCCACTTTACTTCACATGAGGCAGTGAGAATTTTAAACTCACTCTGACTTTCATGAAACAGCAGGAGTGAGAATGACAAGCAGAAAGATGTATGAATATAAATGTCACAGGAGACAGGGAGAAAAACTAAAAGGTTTTAAATTATATACTAGAGAAATACTTAAAACTAAAATGTTAAAAGTTGAATTTTACAAATATTCAAAATAAGTTGCCACATTATGGCTTTTTAAGTAAAAATAACCTGTGGGAAGCATAACATATTTGTACGTAATCTTTACAAAAATATATAAGCATTACATTTAAAAAAAATTAATGGGAAAGCACAGTAAAATTATAAAATTTGAATTCAAGAACTATGACATCTGGAGGGCAGCTCTGGGCCACTTAAAAAAAAAAACACACAACGTAACCTATTGTGTTCTCTTCATACAATGTCTACCTTAACTCAGGAAGTTTAAGAGTGATTTTAGTGCATTGCAAATTTATGGCTTACTTATAAAGTTTTATAGTTTATACATACATATGCATATTATATATAGTTTCTTATATAGCTTGATAGATATTTATATAGTGTACCCATCAAAAAGTAAAATGCAGTAGAATAATATCCATTTACATAAGAAATAGCTATATAGCAACCTAGCAACCTCCCTTGTCCAGAACACAACCAACATAGATGTCACAAGATCCATGTACTTCACTGCAACACCTAACCTTAAAACCCACTTTCTCTAATCAACAACAAATTAGAAATTACAAAATAGGAGGGATATTAGTGATAGAGGTTTATGTTGGCAGGCACCCCAACAGTACCAAAACTAAAATTGTTCACTAAACATTGCTCACTAAAGGGAGAAGAGAAGGCACACAAAACAGAAGCAATGGGAGAAATTACTAAATAGCAGTCTGGGGTCCTTTAAGGAAAAAAATAATTCCATATACCTTACCAAGTTGTGAGTATTATTATTTTATGGCACAGTATAATAATTGATTTCCATAGTGAAAACCCTGAGTCAAAAAGTAAGGGTTCAATTGTTTTCCACATTCTCAATTGAAGAAAGTAGGAAAGTATGTAAGAAATATTTCCATTTAAAATGAAAATAAAGAAAACACATTGCCTGAGGCTTCCCAAAAGCTGAATTAAATTTTACTAAAATTTGTTCAGTTATTATCAATTATTATCAAAATATACCAAAGCTTATAAGATGTAAATGATTCTCATTTACGTTACATCTTATAAGATGGGTCAAATGAAATTGATATGATGAGAATTTGGGGTTAGGAACTAATAAAGTGATATTCATAGGAAAAAAAAGAAAGAAAAGTAATTCGGGTCATTAATCCTTAGTGTCCATAAATTTGTGTTTCAGTTCTTTCTTAGAAATTCACTGTCTCTAAACTTCTTTCCCTTTTTTTATATCTCCTTCTTTGTTTTCTTGTTTTTTTTACACCAGTATATTTATTTTTGCTTGATGTTTTAACTTTTTAAGTTTTCTTTACATTGGGATCAAGTTCTTAATACAGTGGGACTTAAGGATTTTTTAAAAGAAAAATGCAATGAATACTATCTTAGTAAAAATAAAGAAAGAGCTCTTTCAAGTAGAACATATAACTCTAGCAAAGTATCTGGGGAGGGGGGTGGGGTGTAGAGTGATGAGTCTACAAAAAAATTCCTTTTGCCCTTTAACTGGAAAACCCATCAAATATGTGTTGGGATTTAGATAAAGAAGACTGAATTTCTGTACAATTTACATTGGAATGGAGGGAATGAATCCATTTTTTACACTTTCTTGTAACATGTAACATTTTACTGATAATCTACATTCTAAGAAATTATATATTTCATTCCCATTGTTTGTTTTAGATTTTCACACCATTTTGAGCATAAATATAAATCTCTGTATTTCAACACTCTCAATATTCAATCACAATCAAGTAAGTTATGAGAAGTTTGCAATAACACATCGGAAATATGAAAGATTTCACAATATGAAAGATTTTCACAATGCAGCTGCCTGGCAAGCGTTTTCATTTTAAGGTAATGACAAGAAAAAAGAAAAAAAAAAGCAGAGGAAATTACTGCAGGAAAAAAAAAAGTAGCACTTACTAAATGCAATCTCATCAACCCATTTTATATTACATTTTCTAATACAATTAGACATTTTCCTCTGTGGCTTAGTAAAGATATTTAAAATAAGCTGTTTAGAGCTGTTAATAGGAGATATTTCTGGTTCTTAAACAAATCTGAGTATGATGATTGGTCTCAGCAAATAAGAAACAGATATCCTGGGCCGGGCGCGGTGGCTCACGCCTGTGATCCCAACACTTTGGGAGGTCGAGGCGGGCAGATCATCTGAGGTCAGGAGTTCGAGACCAACCTGTCCAACATGGCGAAACCCCGTCTTTACTAAAAATACAAAGAATTAGCCGGGCGTGGTGGCAGGCACCTGTAATTCCAGCTACTCGGGAGGCTGAGGCAGGAGAATCGCTTGAACCTGGGAGAGGGAGGTTGCAGTGAGCTGAGATCCGGCCACTGCACTTCAGCCTGGGCGACAAGAGCGAAACTCCGTTTCAAAAAAAAGAAAAAAATAAAAGAAACAGATATCCTGGATATTTTTGTCTAGAATTGGTGGTACAATTCCCTATTTGAAGGCGAATAAATCTTTTAGTCTTTAAGAAACACATATTCTGAATGATTATTCTTATTAAAATATATTTATCTTTAGGGTCTTTGAAGGTACATCGAAAGCAAACTAAACTTAAGAACAGACATCCTTTCTCTTTCCTAAATTAGCCTAATGAATGCCAAGCAGGAGAAAGTTGCTAATCTTTCAATCACTAAGGTTTCACGCTAAGAGGATTTGTAACATTTTCAAACAGACATAAAAGGTCCTATGCATTCAATAAGATCCGTGACCAGTTCTGTTAGATTTATCTCTTGCCTCCTCTCAATCACCTTCTCGTTACCTTTCAAGAATGTAGCAGCTCTGATTTTTACTACTGAATAACTATGATTGTGATAAAGAAAAATTTATTCTCTTAAGAGTCCTTGTCCCTTACTTGCTAACCCATTAAACTGCATGCATTTTATTTAGAAAGAGAAAGTATTTATAAAGCAGACCAAATGCCTGATGAAAAGTTCAAATACAATGAAAAATATGTCACATATAGTATTCACTTGGTAAATGCCTGTTTTACTGATATTATTTTTGGGGATTACATCTACATTAATTTGGGGTTTAAAGAGCATAAGATCAACAATGAATCTTAAATGTATTTATTAGTTTAAAAAGCTAAGATTTTAAAAAGATGTTTACGCTGCAAGGGTTTCTGTGTGTTCAAGGTATTTATAGAAACAAATACATACTAAATGATTAGCCCTATTTATTTTTAAAATAGTATTGTTATACCAGGGAAGTGAAGCTGTTTATAAAATTAGTGACTTCATACCCTGAATATTTTTTCTCATATTAAGCAAATATCACTTGTAATAAGAAGCTTTAAATTTGAGTGTAAGACCTCAATACTTACCCTGACTACACTGAAGTCCAGCTTAGTCTCCTGTGCACACTGTAATATGAGCTGAAAGCAATTTTTACTTTGATTTGTCATTCCATTTTCATAATAACGCTGTAAAATCCTTTGTTGTTCTACAGTAAATACAGAACGTAGATTCATCTAAAAATAAAAGAAGATACTCTGAAAATTGGAATAAAAATTTGGTATGTGCAGAATTTGTACACCTATTTTTTTAATACAATTTCAATGCTTCCAAGCTGTAAACTTCTGTAAGTGAATTAATCCCCAGTAGTGGGCAATAATTTGTGTGCTAAAGGGAGACAGCTTCTCAATGAAAAATATGCATAGTGCAAACACTTATTGAATTTGTTCAGATAATGTACCAACTTTAAAGAAAAAAAGACAGGAAATAAAAAAGAGGAAAGTCCTTATCTGGTTAGTGTTAATACATGGGAAAAAAGATAATTTCATTGAAATAAATATTTATGGCTAGTAAAGTCAGAGATGGTGGTAGCCATACGTGATCAATTATCAACAGGGACACTCACTGTTCTTTGTCAAGCAAGGCATCTGGCATATGTCTTATAGCCAGAAGCTGTACTCTGGAACAAAAGGGTGCGTTTATTTTTCATCTTGGATAAAGGGATTCTTTTACATATTAAAACAAAACCTCTTTAGAGCTTAAATATAAACATGAAGGTTTAGTGACTGTGAACATTTCTGTGCTTTAGGGAATACTAAACAAAATAATTATTTTAATAAACATAGCATATACATAAAAATTTAAAATTATATACATTTTACTCAAAATAAACCATGTTAAAACTATGTACCTTTTAATTAAATTGACACCATCACAATTTGACAAGATAAGTTAAAAAAATGCTTTATCTTTTCTGCCAGTAGACAAAATGTTTAATATTAAGGGTATACAACTCTGTGAATTTAAAGAATAAAAGTCAGGTCAAACTCTTCTTTAAAAATGATAAATTCTAGTAGTGCATTTCATAAAGAATCCTTGTGATTAGATTAAGTCAATTTTGGGTTCTTGTTAAAAGCTGTCACACTAAACTTGTTAATCCCAAAAGTTGACAGAAAAAAATACCACATCTTTTCCAAGAAAAGCGTCTCCTCAAAATTAAGAAAACAGCAACACATTAGTTGGGCATGGTGGTGTGAGCCTGTGGTCCCTGCTACTTGGGAGGCTGAGGTAGGAGGATTGCTTGAGCCCCAGACGTGGAGGTTGCAGTGAGCTGAAATCACACCACTGCACTCCAGCCTGGGTGACAAAAAGAAACTCTGTCTCAAAAAAAAAAAAAAAAAAAGAGGAAAGAAAAGAAAGGAAGGAAGGAAGGAAGGGGAAAAGAAAAGAAAAAAGAAAAGAGCAACAACGAAACTCTTCAAGCCAAACCAGACAGAAATTTTTCCAGCATACTGTGTATGGAAATAACCAAGTACATTGACACGGAAATAACTTATCTTTCTCTGAATACTTTAAAAAATAAAGCTCTCTATTAAGGAAAGTAAGCAGTCATCCAGTCATCCAGTGCAATCTGTACACCTGACTTTCTTGTCCGCACAAGCATCTATCTCATCTATCTCCTATCTAATGTTAAGAGATCTGATGAGAGAAAATCAGATGTAGGCGAGCACCAGGAAAGATGAGAGTAAAGTTTCTCCCTGAAACATCTGAAGCAAAGACTTCTACTGACTTTCTGAAGGGGATCTCATTCAAGTGCACTAATGTGTAAGCCTAAACCGAACGAAATTTTCAAGGATGCGTGGGCAAGTGAGCAGGAACAATATCCATTAAAGCAATTTTTTTTTTACTATCATGGCTGCCAGATTTCAGAGCCGTTTGGGGTTTCTTTTCCTAAATGGTTCAGCTGCAGTCAGGAGAAGAGCCAGAAGATGGAGGTCAAATACCTGAAATATTTCATCTGGTATGGATTTAGAAGCAAGGTACTTTGAAATGGGTTCTGAGGACAATGGTATACTTCAAATCATTAATGTACAATCAGAGCTCTGATCCTCCTCTGCAGGGCTGTACCTACTGCAAAAAGCCTAAAGTACAAGATGTGAGTGATCACCAAGTGTGATAATATCTGCCCTATGTTTTCCCATTAGCTGGCTGCAACTGTTACATTTATCTAAGTGTGATATCAACCTACAAAACACACCAGGTCCTTCCCCATTGATACCAGTAGTCAAATAAAGATGACTGAGTATTAAACAGATTTCTGGATACTGCAACTCTGACAATAGACAATGCAGGGACCTTTTAGTTTTCCCTTTAAATTCAGTAATAGCAGCAAGGCCACTTTGCTCAAAAGATCTACTATATTATAGGAAGTTAATTCTTTACAACAACTAGATGACCCCATTTGAGCAAGATAATTTATCATTATCTTCATCCACCCTAGCAATCTTGGCCTCTGAAGTGGCAAGATATTGAATGACTGCACTGCCAAGTTTCTTAATCATTTGCAACAAAATAATCAAAAATAGAGTTTTTAAAATAATAACTTTTAAAGTTGGGTTTTTATTTATGTGGAAGATAAAATAACAAATGGTCGGTTCCCTGGAAATTGAGGTCTGTTGGGTTGTGGTGGGGATGGTGGCTGAATTAGGGGATTGAGTGCTGAAGTAACAATTTATTTAGTGTTACCCCCAATATTCTGTATTATGCTACCATTCAGCACATGCCCACCCATAGGAATAAGACAACCTCGGTTTATGCTCAGCTTCACTGCTGACAATTTGGTAAATCATTTAATTTCCATGAATATCCATTACCAAGTCTGTAAAATGCTGGACTGTACAAGTCATCTTGTCTACTACTCTGGGTTGATACAAGTAAGTTATGATATATGAACTCATTTGTGTTAAGTTGTAAAGCATGTAGTTGTAACATACCTATATTTTTAGTACAACTAGGCTCTTAAGTTTATATATCATATTCAGATATGGAATTTTTCAGGTTCCACTCAGGTTTAAGATTCAGTATTTTAATGAAGACTCTGAGACATTGAGAAAATATTAAATCATGCTTAGTATGTTCTATTCAAACAAGCTGAACAATGAGTATAATTTTTTAGATTTGTTGCTTTGGAAGTACCTGAAAAATACAGCTTCTAAGAATGTCTGCTTCCTTAGGTGTTCCAGATAGCAAAGGCCATATTTTCACATGGAAACACTTGAGATAAATTCCTATATGATGTAACACTGTTCTTATAGATTCGATGCCATACTTAAAACCAGCTCAATGCCTTACTAATGCCCCAGCTAATTAAAACATTTGAAAAGTACCAAAAAATTTACTTATAAGTATTCATTACTGGAAAACAAGATATTCTAAATGGGATGACGCATTTGGAGGCTGAGGTAGGAGGATTTTTTGAGACCAGGAATTTGAAACCAGCTTGGGCAGCATGGTGAGACCCCACCTCTACAATTTTTTTTTAATTTTAATTAGTGGGGCATGGTGGCATGTGCCTGTAGTCCTAGCTATTCAGGAGTTTCAGGTGAGAGGGTCTCTTGAACCCAGGAGTTCGAGGTTACAGTGAGCTATGACTGCACCATTGCACTCCAGCCTGGGTGACAGAACAAAACCCTGTCTCTAAATAAATAAGCAAATAAATAGAAATGGGACAAGTCCATAAAATCATCATCAATTCAAATATAACGCATTCTTTCCAATATTAAAAATGTGCATTTGGAAAAGCCATTGATGTTTTTGTTTACAAAGTGTTGAGCCAAGTTAAACATAACACATTGAATATCTTATTTTGGCCAACATGTCTGTATTAATATTGTACTTTTTATCCATTATTATTATTCACTTCTAAACTTACATACAGTAAAATTCACTCTTTTTCATGTACAGTTTTATGAGTTAAGAGAAATGTATATAGTCATCAAACCATCACCAAAATCAAGACAGAATAGTTTCATCACTCCCAAAAATTTCCCTTATGCTGCCTCATTAGCAAGCCATCCAGCCACCCCAGCTCCTGGCAACCACTGTTTCTATAATTTTGACTTCCGTAGACTGCCCTATAAATGGAATCAACATGTAGACTCTTCAGCCTAGCTTCTTTCACTTAGCATAGAGCATTTGAGATAAATCTGTGTTGCTGTGTGTCATCAGTAGTTTGTTCCTTTTTCTTGTAAAGTCGTATTTTATTGTATTAATGTACCACAGTTAATTCATCCACTGAAGGACATTGAATCTGCTTTAAGTTCTTGGCTGTTATGAATAAAGCTGTTAAGAACATTTGTACACAGGTTTCTGTGTGCAGGTAAGTTTTCATTTCTCTTGAGTAAATACCTAGGAATGAAATTTCTGGGTCGTATGGTAAGTGTATGTTTAATTTAATAAGTTGTTAACCTGTTTTCAAAATTGGCTGTACAAATTCGCATTCTCGAATGCACTGAAAAACATTCAGTGAAAGATTCATTTCTTTCACTTCCTCATCAACATTTATTACAGTCAATTTTTTAAAAATTAGCCATTTCCTAGTTGTGTAATTGAATATTATTGTTGTGGTTTTGTGTTTCTCTAGTGACAAATGTTGTTGAACATCTTTTTGTATACTTACCCGCCACTTCTTTGTGGAAGTGTTTTACTCAAATATTTGCCATATTTTTTAATTGGGTTGTTTACTTATTATTGAGTATTGAGGGTTCCTTATATATTCTGGATACAAACCCTTCATCAGAAATATGATTTCCAATGTTTCTCCACCTGTGGCTTATCTTTTGCTAATTATTTATATCTTGCCTGATTTCTTTTACTAGAGATTTATAGTTTTCAGAAAACAGATCCAGCATATACTCTGTTAAATAAATACCTATATATTTTCTGTTTTAGGGGGGTTATTATTGTAAATTGTATTTTTTAACATTTCCAATTGTTCATTGCTAGTTTATTAACATACAATTGATCTTGGTACATTGAAGTTGTATTCTGCAACTTTACTAAACCAACTTACTAGTTCCAGGGGATTCAGTTGATTGGTATTTTCTACACAATCATGTTGTCCACAAACAGGGACAAGCTTATTTCTTGTTTTCTGATATGCATTCTTTTCATTTTTCTATCTTGCCCTAACTGGACTGGCTAGGACATAAATCATGATGTTTTAATAAGAGCTATGAGAGTAGACATTCTTGCCTTATTCTCAAGTTTGGAGGGAAAGCGTTAAATCTTTCACCATTAAGTATGATGTTCGCTACAGGTTTTTCATACATGCCTCTCACCAGGTTAAAGAAGTTCTCTTTTATGTTTATTAAACTGAGTTCTTCTTCTTATTATTATTATTGTTACCACTAATGGATATTGAATTTTGTTAAATGCTTTTTCTTGCATCTATTGAAATGATTGTATAGTTTTTATTCTTTAATCTTTAAATGGTAAATTATGCTGATTGATTTTCAAATGCCAAACCTGCCTTCTATTCCTGGAATAAACCTCACTTGGTAGTGATGTATTATTCTTTTTATATATAATTTATTAAATTTTTAAATATTTGGTTAAGAATTTTTTAGTCTATTTTTGTGAGGGATATTTGTTGTGGTTTTCTTTTCTTGCAATGTATTTGGTTTTAGTACTAGGGTAATGAGTTAGGAAGTATTTCCTTCATTTATGTATTCTAGAAGAAATCACATGGAATTGCTAATAATTTCATTTAAATCTTTCTTAGAAATCACCAATGAAACCATCTGAACATGGAGTTTTCTTTGTGGGAATGTTTTGAAGTACGAATTACATTTCAGTATTATTCAGATAATCTATTTATTCTTGAGTGAGTTTTGATAGTTTGTGTCTTTCAAGGAATTGCTCCATTTCATCTAAGTTGTTGAACTCAAAGGTATAAGGTTGTTTATTAATAGTTCATTGTTTATTATTATTATTTTACTGTCTGTAGGGCCTGTGGTGATGTACCTTTTTTCTTCTTGATATTGGTAAATTGTTTGTTCTTCTTTATTTAGCATTTATTTAGTGATCTTTTAAAAGATCACTGTTATTGAAGAACTAGCTTTTAGTTTCATTAGTTTTGTCTATTGTTTTTCCGTCTTCATTTTCATTAATTTCTACTCTCTATTTTTTGTTCAGCAAGTATTTATTGAGCGCCTTCAATGTGCCAGATACAATGTACAGGGGACACAATATTTATCACAGGAGACATGGTGGATCCAGTGCTCATTGTTAGTCTTTTGATGCCACAGATTCCACATCACTGAGAGGTTATGTGGTTTGATTTTGTTCACCATTCTATTTACCGGACATATTTATTTTCCTACAGCACTCTATTAACCTCGTTTTCTGCCTTCTGTCAATTTATGAACAAATTGGGGTCTGTTTTCCCTCTCTACAGGTGACTTTTCTCACCTTTTTAAGTGCTTGGACAATTTTTTTTTAATTCTTAAATTTCAGTGACCACCAAATTTAATCTCAAACTTTATTTTTTATCTTTACTTTTTACTTTTAGATTCAGGATGTATATATGAAGGTTTCTTACTTGGGTATATTGGGTGATGCTGGGGTTTGCGCTTCTAGTGAACCCATCACCCAAACAGTGAACATAGTACCCAGTAGGTAGTTTTTCAAATCTTGACTGCCTCCATCCCTCCCCACTTTTGGAGTAATCAGTGTCTATTGTTTCCATCTTTATGTCCATATGTACCCATTGTTTAGCTTCCACTTATAAATGAAAACGTGTGTTATTTGACTTTCTTTTTTTATGTTAATTCACTTGGGATAATGGCCTCCAGCTGCATCCATGTTGTTGCAAAGAATATGATTTCATTCTTCTTTATGGCTATGGAGTATTTCATGTTGTATATGTACCACATTTTCTTTGTCTAATCCACTATTGATAGACACTTAGATCGATTCCATGTCTTTGTTATTACGAATAGAGCTGAAATAAATATATGAGTCCAGGTATCTTTTAGATAAAACAATTTTTTTTCGTTCACCCAGTAGTGATATTACTGGGTCAAATAATAGTTCTAGTTTTAGTTCTTTGAGAAATCTCCATACTGCTTTTCATAGGGATTGTATTAGTCCATTCTCATACAGCTATAAAGAAACTTTCCAAGACTGGGAACTTATAGAAGAAAGAGGTTTAATTGACTAACAGTTCTGCATGGCTGGGGAGGCTTCAGGAAACTTACAATCATGGCAGAAGGGAAAGCAAACATGTCCATCTTCACATGATGGCAGGAAGGAGAATAATGATAGCCAAGCAAAGTGGAAGCCCCTTATAAAACCATAACATCTCATGAGAACTTACTCATTATCATAAGAATAGCATGGGAGAAACTAGCCCCATGAGTCAATTATTTCCCACTGGGTCCCTCCCACAACATGTGGGAATTCTGGGAGATATATTTCAAGTTGAGATTTTGGTGGGGACACAGCCAAACCATATTATTCCGTCTCTGGCCCTTCCCAAATCTCATGTCCTCACATTTCAAAACACAATCATACCCTTCCAAAAATCCTCCAAAGCCTTAATTCATTCCAGGATTAACCCAAAAGTCCAAGTCCAAAGTCTCATCTGAGACAAGGCAAGTCGCTTCCGCCTATGAGCCTGTAAAATCAAAAGCAAGTTAGTTACTTCCTAGATACAATGGGAGTGCAGGCATTGGGTAAATACACCATTCTAAATGGGATAAATTGGCCAAAATAAATGGGCTATAGGCCTCATGCAAGTTCAAAATCCAATAGGGCAGTCATTAAAACTTAAAGTTCCAAAGTGATCTCCTTTGACTCCATGTCCCACATTCAGGTTATGCTGATGCAAGGAGTGGGCATCAAAGGGCTTGGGCAGCTCCAACTTTGTGGCTTTGCAGGGTACAGCGCCCCCCTCAGCTGATTTCACAGACTGATGTTAAGTGTATGTGGCTTTCCCAGGCTCATGGTGCAAGCTGTCGGTGGATCTATCATTCTGGTGTTGAGGACAGTGGCCCTCTTCTCACAGCTCCACTATCTGTGTTGGGGCTCCAACCCCACATGTCTCTTCCACATTGCCCTAGCAGAGGTTCTCCATGAGGGCTCCACCCATGCAGCAAATGTCTGCAGGGACATCCAGACATTTTCATACATCCTCTGAAATCTAGGTGGAGGTTCCCAAACCTCAATTCTTGACTTATGTGCACCTGCAGGGCCAACACCATGTGTAAGCCACCAAGGTTTAGGTGGCTTTGCACCCTCTGGTGCAATGGCCTGAGCTGTATGTTGGCCCCTTTTAGCCATGGCTGGAATGCAGAGCACCAAGTCCCAACTGTACAAAGTAGCAAGGCCCTGGGCCTGGCCCATGAAACCATTTTTTCTTTGTAGGCCTCTGCACCTCTGATGGGATGGGCTTCCGTGAAGACCTCTGAAATGCCCGGGAGACATTTTCTCCATTGTCTTGGTGATTAGCATTTGGCTCCTTGCTACTTATGCAAATTTCTTCAGCTGGCTTGAATTTCTCACCAGAAAATGTAATTTTTCTTTTTCACTGCATCATCAGGCTGTAAATTTTCCAAACTTTTATGCTCTGCTTCCTCTTGAATGCTTTGTCACTTAGAAGTGTCTTGCACCAGATACCCTAAATCATATCTCTCAAGTTCAAAGTTTCACAGATCTTTAGGGAAGGGGCAAAATACCACCAGTCTCTGTAGAGCAAGAGTGACCTATACTCCAGTTTCCAACAAGTTCCTCATCTTCATCTGAGAACACCTCAGCCTGGACTTCATTGTCCATATCACTATCAACATTTTGGTCAAAGCCATTCAACAAGTCTCTAGAAGTTCCAAACTTCCCTACATCTTTCTGTCTTCTGAGCCCTCCAAGTCTCTAGGAAGTTACAAATTTTCTCACATTTGCCTGTCTTCTTCTGAGCCATCCAAACTGTTCCAACCTCTTCCTGTTACTCAGTTCCAAAGTTGCTTCCACATTTTGGGGTATCCTTATAGCAGTGCCCCATTCCCAGTACCAATTTACTGTATTAGTCTGTTCTCACGCTGCTATAAAGAATTGCTTGAGACTGGGTAATTTATTAATGAAAGAGTTTTAAGTGACTCATAGTTCCACATGGCTGGGGAGGCCTCAAAACTGACAGTCATGACAGAAGGGGAAGCAAACATGTCCTTCTTCACATGATGGCAAGAAAGAAAAGAATGAGAACCAAGTGAAGAGGGAAGCTCCTTAGAAGACCACCAGATTTTGTGAGAGTTTACTCACTATCATGAAAATAGCATGAGGGATACCACCCCATGATTCAATTACCTCCCACAGGTCCCGCCCACAACACATGGGGATTATGGGAACTATAATTCAAGATGAGATTTTGGTGGGGACACAGCCAAGCTATATCAGAGGTTGAACTAATTTACTTATATTCCTACCAATAGCATGTAAGTGTCTCATTTTCTCCACATTCTCGCCAACATCTATTATTTTTTGAATTTTTAAAAATAGCCATTTTGACTGGTGTGAAATGGTATCTCATTGTGGTTTTATTTGTATCTCTCTGAAGATCAGTGAAGTTGATCTGATCTTATATTTACTAGTCTCTTCATTTGGCTTTGTTTGGATTTAATTTACTTTTCTTTTCCTAGTTCCTTGAAATGGAAGCTTATACTGTTGATCTGGGACCTTTCTTCTTTTCTAAATACAAGCAAGTAATGTTAAATTTAGTTCTAAGTATTGCTTTAGTTACATTCTAAAAATTTTGATAAAGTATATATTGTCATTCAGTTCAAAATATTTTCCAATTTCTCTTGTTTACTGTTTAATTAAAATATTTAGGGCATTTCCAGATATCTTTCTGTTATTAATTTTTAGTGTAATTTCATTATGATTAGAGAACATACTTTTTATCATTTCAATTCTTTAAAATTTTTTAAAAGTGTGTTTTATGTCCCAGAAAATGATTTCTCTTTGTGACTGTTCCATGAACACTTGAAAGGAATGTATAGTCTGCTGTTGGGTGGTCATTTCTAAAAATGTCAATTAGGTCATGTTGTTTGATAGTATTTTTCAGGTTTTCTATATCCTTATTGACTTCCTCACAACTTTTTCTATCAATTACTAAAAGAAGAATGGTGTAATCTCCATCTATAACTGTGGATTTGTCTATTTTTATTTTCAGTTCTGGAAGTTTTTGCTTTATGTGTTTGTTTGTTTGTAACATAGTCTCACTCCATCACGCAGGCTGGAGTGCAGTGGCACAAACTTGGCTCTCTGCAACTTCCATTTCCTGGGTTCAAGCAATTCTCATGCCTCCTGAGTAGCTGGGATTATAGGCATGCATCACCATGCCTGGCTAATTTTTGTATTTTTAGTAGAGACGGGGTTTCACCATGTTGGCCAGGCTGGTCTTGAACTCCTGGCCTCAAGTGATCTGCCCTCCTTGGCCTCCCAAAGTGCTAGGATCACTGGTGTTAGCCACCAGGCCCAGCCAACTTTTTGCTTTATGTATTTTGAAGATCTGTTGTTAGGCACATATACATGTAGTATTGTTATATCTTTTTGGTAAATTGACCCTTTATTCTTTAGTTATGTAATGCTGCTCTTTATTCCTGGTACTAGTCCTTGCTCTGCATTCTACTTTGCCAGACACTAATATAAACACTCCAGCTTTGTTTTGATTGCTGTACCATAGTATATCACTTTCCATATTGTATTTTACCCTATGTCTTTTATATAAAGTGGATTTCTTTTATAAAACATATAGTTTGGTTATTTAATCCAATATGACAATACGTTTTAATTAGTTTCTTTACACCACTTACATTTAATGTAATTACTGATATGGTTGGATATAGGTATACCATATTATTTGTTGTTTTCTGTTTGTCCCTCTGACATTGATCTCCTTTTTCCAACTTCTTTTGGATTATCTGAATACTTTTTGGTATTCTGTTTTAATTTTTTTTTGCATATTTTTAAGTGATTGTTTTAAGGATTACAATGTACATATCTATTTTTTCTTTTTACACATTTAATATTTTACAACCTCAATGACAACTATCTAGGTACCTTTTCCCTCCCCTCTTTGTTTTATAGTCATCATACATAGTACATCTCCATGTATTAAAAACCCTGATAGACAATGTTATCATTTTTACTTTCAACAGTCATACATATTTTAAAGAACTTAAGAAGACAAAAATAGAATCCCATATTTACCCAGAATTTGCCATTTAATTTGGTCTTTTTTTGTTCCTGAAACTCAAATTTTCTCCTGCTATCATTTCCATTCAGCCTGAAGAATTTACTTTAACATTTTTAAGAATAGATCTGTTTGCAAAAACTTTTCTTAGGTTTTTTAAATCTGAGAATGTCTTTATTTCATCATTTCTGATACATATTTTCATGGACTATAGGAATCGGGGTTGACTTTTTTTTTTCATTTAAAGATGTTTTTCCACTGTTTTACATCTCCATGGTTTCTCTTAAGAAAAATTCAGTCATTCATACCCTTGTTTTCCTATGTATATGCTGTTTTTCTATGGCTATTTTCAACATTTTTTTTTACCTTTGGCTTTCAACAGTTTGATTATTAAGTGTCTAGGCATAATTTTCTTTGATTTTATATTATTTCAAGCTCCTTGATATTGAATCTGTAAATTTTCATCTTTTACAAAATTTGAGAAGTTTTCAGATATTATTTCTTCGAATATTTTTTTCTACACCAATCTCTCTCCTGTCCTCCTGGGATTTCAGTGACATGAATACTATTTTTATATCATCCCATAGGGCTTGAGTTTCTGTTCATATTTCTACATATTTTTTTCCTCTCTGGTCATCAGATTAATTTGTGTTGATTTATCTTAAAGTTCACTGACTGTTTCCACTGTCTTCATCATTCTCTTACTGAGCACAGATGGTGCCTGTAAAAAAATTTCAGATAATGAATTTTCAGCTCTATAATTTCCATTTAGTATTATTTTCTAGGCTCTATTACTCTGCTGAGAACTTCTCACAGCTTACTCTTTTTCAAGGTGTTTATTTTCATCTAAGGGAGCATAGTTATAGTAGCTGTTTTAACACCTTTTGATAGAATTCCAACATCTGGGTCATATTGGTGTTGGCATCTCCTGTTGAGTATGTTTAAATTCTATTTTGGTTCTTTTGAATATTATTTGTTGGCATCCTCTTGAGAATGTTGATTTGGCAGAACACAGTTAGCAGGCAATCTACTATGTCAGATTCAACTGCAAATACTTTTTTTAAAAAACTTCTGTCAGCAAGTCAGCTCAGTTTTGAAATCCTTTTCTGTGTTATTTTGGGTCTGTCCTCACACTAGTACCATTTGGGTGGTGGTTTCAATGTCAATTCTATTTCCAAAGCCTCTGCTATCTATTTCGAATCTGTCCCACTCCTGAACAACTCAAGGATGAGCTTAAGCTTTCCACAGGTTGATGCCCAGTATTAAAAGATCCCCTTCCTCAACTCTTTCCTCTCCATGATTCTCCACTCACTGTACAGCCTGCAAGGGCCACTTTTCCTGGTCCTCTAGACAGAAATATAGGGTTTCCCTTAGAGTTTATTTTAGTTGTTCTATTGTCACTGCAGCATAGCTCTGCAACTGGAGCCACCATTGATTAAAAAGTGGAAGTGAAAGACAGAGAATGAAACTGACTCAGAATTTACTCTCACACTGTTGGGACTGCCAGCTGCTATTGCAGTTTTAGCCAGTAATGTACCGCTCCATAGTTCCATGAGATGGATCCAGCCTTGGGTCAAAGTCTCAAGAGAAATGGGGGAAAACTGGGAAACTCACCCATATATGGTCACTTCATATTCTGACTGCCATCCTCAATCTGCCTGCTTTTGTTTACCTTTAGGAGTTCTGAGGGAGTTTCTCTTAAAATTTTGTCCAGAGATTGTAGCTGTAATAATCAGGAGAGAAGGTTATAGTGGGCTTACTTCATGTTGGTCAGAATCGGAAGTCTAGCACTGCATTTTTAAAATTTAGATCAAACTAAACTTTAAGGAACTTTAAGTCAAATCAAAGCTATATTTATTTAACCCTTGCTGAAGAGCAATACTTTTGGGCTGATATTACTGGTTTAAAATCTAAAACACACACACACACACACACACACACACACACACACACACAACCAGTTTTCCGTCTTTCTCAGAAGCTTTTATATATGAAAATACAAATAACTACACTTTTGAATAAATTAAATATTAGAAATGTTTTGAAGCAAATAAAAGACATTAGTAATAATATACTTCTAGGCATTTTTTCTTGGCATTTTAATTTTCTTGGCCACAAAAATAAATGCTTCATGTTTAATTGTATAGTCTCTAGTTGTTCTGCATAATTTGGTATGAAGACATATGAAAATTCCCCAGTTGCCACTATACTTCCATTTCTAAGATATTTTGGGAAATTAGTCATTCTGGAAAGCTAAAGTGTATACTCCTTTGAGCAATAAAATTTTATTTTTCATAAGTTTTCATCTTAGATGAAAATATTTCTGAACTACCTTATTCACTCTCTTGAGTTGTTAAACAGGGAATAGAAAAATAAAGTGTTTTTATAAGAATGGGTCATCATTATAAACATAATTTAATAAATGGTGTTCTAATAATTGTGATACGGTGTCTGTCTCTTCATTAAAACACATTAAAATTTTTGCATATCCTTTTTATAGTTTCTCTTTTACTCTCCTTGTCTGTCATCGTTTGTCATGCTGTCAGTGGGCTTGCCTTTAGCAATTCCCTCTCACTCTTAATTTGCCGGGTTTTGTTGTTTTTCATTAGTTTGTTTTTTCTAATCTGGTAAAAGACCAGAATTTTCAGGAAAGGCCTGAGAGGTTTACTCATGACTCTATCATTTGGGCCTTACCTTGTAGATTTTGTGACACTTATTTTCTTGGATTTGCTGGAGGAATGATATATGTGAAGGATTACTACTGTGCCCTTTTACTCTAGTGATGATCTATAGTAGTTAAAATGGCTATTTTATTTCACACATGAACTGAGCAGTAGTGGAATGGAAAGTTGGATTAAAATCAACCTCTCTACCATGTGGACATATGGTTGTGGTGAAGTACAATTTATGGCAATAGTTGTTTAGTAAACAAAACAACTGCCATCTTTTGCTTAATATTTAGTAAATAAGGCAAATAAAAACATTAGATGAAATATTAAATTATTCTTAACAACACAGAGCAAGCGGGGTTTTGGTTGGGAGAAGGAAAGAGTTGTTGTAGAGGTTGGGGACTCTTGGATAGAACAAACATTGGTATTCCACTCCCAGGTCAGTCTGTCAATTTTTGTGTACCAGTGATAGACAAAGGGAAATCAGTGGGCCAAGTTCACCTCTGCTGATTTTACAAAGAAAGAGTTTTAAACTCAACTGTCTATACAATGCAAGATAATCTGCTTTGCTCTGCCTTAACCAATCAGGCAGACCTAAGTGTATGGTAGAGGGAGAGAGTTCCTTCTCTGTCTCACATACTATAAGCTTCTGTATTACAGGAAGCAAATTTTCATCTTTTTAATTAACCAGCTTCTAGAACAATGCCTTGGACATAATAAGTGCTCAAATGAGTTGCAAAGTATTACCTCCACTTCTGTGTCCTAAAAAACTTTTGTGTAGATTTCATATTATTTATTTCTTAAATGCTTTGTAGCATTAATGAGTAAAGCAATTTGGGTCTGAAGATTTCTTTTAAGGAAGATTTTAATTAAAAATTCAATTTCTCTAATTAAATATAAAATATTAAGTTACTGTTTTTCTTTTACAATTAATTTTAGTAATTTCCAACTTTTAAGAAATTGGTCCATTTCCTTTAAGTTATGGAATGTATAGTCATGTAGGTTAACTTTGTGAGTATACTGTTTAATGTCTGTACAGTCTATTGTGGTACATTCTCCCTCATTATGATATTGGCAATTTGTGTCCTCTCTCCTTTTTTTTTCTCTTAAGATCTAACATTTGGTTTCATTGCATTTGTTCATTGCTTTTCTGTTTTCTATATCAATTATTTATGCTCTTAGCATTATCATTTCCTCTTTATCCTTGTTTTGAGCTTAATTTGCTCTTCTACTAGTATTTTGTTAAAGTGACCCTCAAGTAATAGATTTCAAGTTTTCTACGTATCCACTAAATTATCCTTTTATTTCTCCTCTACTGGCCTTTGTGCTATTATTGCTACACATTTTGCTTTTACAAATGCTACTAAATCCCAAATAAGTTGTTATTTTAAAAATTAAATTGTTATTGCTTAAAATGATTTTATAAATTAAAAGATCTTTCATTTGTACCCACATATTTACTATTTCCAGTACTCTCCTTTCCATTATGTATGTTAAAATTTCAATTTGGTATTACTTTTCTTCGGTGTGATGATTTCCTTTAACAGTTTTGATAATGTATATCTGCTAGGGATGTATTTTATACTTTGGTATGAGTGGATGAACTTTTTTTAAATTTATTTTTTATAATTTTTTTAAATCTTATTATTATTATACTTTAAGTTTTAGGGTACATGTGCACAACGTGCAGGTTTGTTACATATGTATACTTTTATATTGCTTTTTTTATATATAAAATTCTAAGTTAACTTATTTTTTTCTTTCAGCACATTAAGAATGTTGCCCCATTGTTTTCTGTGTTGCATTGTTTCCGTGAGATATATCCTACCATTGTCATATTTGTTCTCCTATACATAAAGTGCAGTTATTTTCTCTGGCTGCATTTAAGATTTTCTCTTTTCTATGAATTTCAATTATTAGAGTATGAAATACCTTGGTGCCATTTTCTTCATCGTTCTTATTTGTGGGATATATTGAGCTTCTTGGGTATGTGGGTTCATAGATTTCATCAAATTTGTAAAATTTTCAACTGTTCGTTTTTAGATAATTTTCTTCTACTTCCCACCTTCTGTGACTCAAAAAATATGGATGGTAGGTTGAATGACATTGGCTCACAATTCATTGTTGCTCCATTCATTTATTTCTCATATTTTTCTCTCTACTTTTCATTTTGAATACTTTTTATTTGTATGTATTAAAGTTCACTATATTTTTTCTTCTGCAGTAGCTAATCTGCTGTTAAAACTATCCAGTGCATTTGCCATTTCATATGCTATATTTTGTCTCTAGAATTTCAATCAATGTGGATCTTTTAAAAAAATCTATTTTGTTCTAATCTTGCTTGTGCTTTCTTCTACCTTATTGAACATATGGATTGCAGAAATAATAGCTGTTTTTTAATTCTTCTCTACTAATTTCACACCCTTTTTTATTCTGTTTTTCTTATTGCTTTCTCACAGGAATATGGGTTGTATATTTTCCTATTTCTTTGCATGCTTGGTAATTCTTCGTTTAAAATCAGATATTATAAATCTTGTTTTTGGGTACTGTCTGTTTTTGTAGTATTTGAATATGTTTGCCTTTGTTTGGGGATATATTTAAGTTACTAGGAATTGGTTTGGTTCTTTTGAAGTTTGCTTTTGTCAGGCAAATCTAGAATTGCCTTTATTCTAGATCTAATTTGCTCCATTACTCAGGCAATACCCTTGTGAGGACTTTTTTAAATGCCTCTTGAAATATGATGTTTTCCAATCTGGCTAGTGGGAACATAACTATTCCTGGTCCTCCGTGAGTTCTGAGGATTGATTTGCCTGTTTCTTTATTGTGGTTCTTTCTCTGTCCTCATCAGTTTCATCACACACTTGAGCTGATCATTATTCAGAAACTTGAAGGGTCCCTCAGCAGATTTCTGAAGCTCTCTCCATATGCAGTTTTCTCCTTCACTGTGCAATGTTCTCTCCAGTACACTGTTCCTCAAATTGTAGGCACCCTTGTACTTTCTGAACTCTGAACTATGTCTTCTCAACACAGAGAGACTCCTAGCCTTTTTGGGCTCCTTTCACCTGAGCTATTGTCTGGAAACTTTCCCAAGGCAGTAAGTTGGGACATTCATAAGGCTCATCTTGTCTCCCTTCTCTCAAGAATCATGGTCCTGTGCTGCCTTTTGTCAAAGGTCTAAAATTCATTATTTTCTATTTTTTTCTGTTTTTGTTTGTTTGTTTGTTTGTGTTTAGATATTTAAGGTAAAAGAGGAAATCCTGTTACTGTTACTTCATCATTGCTACAAGCAGAAATTCAGGTGACCTTTTGGAGTGGTGGAGTGGGAATGCTTTAGGAGTCTGGATACCTCCATCCTATTAAGCTCTTAAGCTTCATTACTTGCTAGTCTTGTGACTTTAGCAGAGATAATTGACCTCTGGAACCTCAGTTCCTTCATCTGGAAAATGGGACTATAAAACCTGTCCTATTCTTCTTCAAATGATGTGTCATCTTCATTAAAATACTTAATAAACTGTAATGTGCTACGCCAAGCCTATTTTTGTTACTAGTTAACATATCATCAACTGGCCATCAGTACTGCGAATAACTCTTTTAAAGTACATCAATCCACTCCTACACAATTTATATATGAACCTCAAATGAAGGATATGTACATTATGATATTATGATGGCAAAAAAAAGACTGATCCTGAGATCCCTGTCTATGCAATAAGAGTTTAATCTTTCAAAATGTTTAAGAATGTGAAAGTTAAGCCCAACAAATAGCATCGTGTCCACATATGCATGGAAGCCACTCCAGAATTTTTTAGTACAAATTTAATATTACAAAAAGCTTTTTTTTTTTTTTTTCTGAGATGGAGCTTCGCTCTTGTTGCCCAGGCTGAAGTGCAATGGCGCGATTTCGGCTCACTGCAGCCTCCACCTCCTGGATTCAAGCAATTCTCCTGCCTCAGCCTCCGAGTAGCTAAGATTACAGGCACTGGCCACCATGCCCGGCTAATTTTTGTATTTTAGTAGAGATGGGGATTCACCTCTCTATTTACTTTATTTTAAAATCATCTCACCAAGTTTTTAGATATTGTAAAAAATAAATTCCAGCATCTTCAAAGCATAAAGTCTAGTGACAGACATCTGTTTATTCTAATACTATGAGAGTATATTATCTGTTTATTAAGCTAGAATTTACTGAAATGTATTGTACACATCTCTTATCTGTCTTTTTAGAGATAAAACTAACTTATATTGCTTAGGTGAAAATAGAAACAAAAGGAGATTTTAATAAAAACTTATCATATGATTTTCTCAGGGCACAAAGAAATTGTTCACTGACCTCGCTTTAAAACACACTTAAAATTATGTAATTAATATTCAGTTTTGCCAGCTACATAAAACATATTCATAGTGACATGAACACAAATTGCAAGAAAATTTTATGTACACATACTCCACATAAATATATGAAAATATAAAGGGACATATATGTCTATAGCTACATCCCTAATGACTAAATTCTAAAGAAAGCTTCTACCAAATAAATGCATTAGCAAGTAAATATACTGGATCTCAGAATGTTTAATCAATGATAAAAATGTATTAGCCTTTAATGACACTTGCTTTATTCACATGGTAATGTGTTCAAATAATATACACCTAAAACTATAAATACCTAATCATACCATCAGATATCAGAAAGAATAAGTACCTAGTATTTGATAGCACAACAGGGTGACTATAGTCAAAATAATTTAATTATATATTTTAAAATAACTAAAAAAGTATAACTGAATTGTTTGTAACACAAAGGATAAACGCTTAAGGGAATGGATAGCCCATTTTCCATGATGTGATTATTATGCACTGCATGCTTATATCAAAATATCTCATGTACCCCATAAATGTGTACACCTACTATGTACCCACAAAATTTAAGAATAAAAAAATTAAAAATACTAAAAAAAAGTAAAAAGATCAATTTCAAATGGATAAACAGCTGAATGACAAAAACATAAATAGGGACTCAACTGAATGACTATTTCCTTTGGCTCTGTTTTTATGTAATCCCACATGCATCCATCCATACAAAATATATGACAGTGATATATGGCACTAATGACCAGTGATATACAGCGTCTCCGAATGAGCTAAGTAGTACCTTGATTCATTCATATTCGTTGAGTAAATTTTGTTTCAATAAATTGTGTTTCTTTGTACATTTCTAGCCCTAAAAAATGTGCAGGTAAATCACTTCTATGTTTCACTGGAGAGTGTTTGTACTGCCACAACCATTGAAAGCTAACATTTCACAATCTTGCAAATCACAGTCTTGTTAATACTTTTAAAATGTAGGTTGTATTTTAACTTACTAATGAGGGAAGTACATACACAAAGAGATAGACTATTTAATTATCTTACAACTCTCATTCCTGATTTTACATCAACCTGCACAAATTAAGGGGAAAAAGATTTAGTCACACATTAGAGGTTAGGGGGATATCCCTCAAAGTACACCATCAAGTGGTAAGTAGGTAACATTATATAAACATACACATATATAGTGTAGAAACAACATACAAACACACATGTATTTAGACAATGAAAATGTGAAAGCATAAATTTATCCCCATTGAGAAAAGGAAACTCTTGTACAACTTTGGTGGGGATTTAAATTAGTACAGTCATTATGGAAAACAGTATAGAGGTCTCTAAAAAATTAAAAATAGAACTCCTACCACATATGATTCAGCAATCCCACTTCTCAATATATAGCCAAAGGAAATAAAATCAGTATCTTGAAGATATATCTGCACTCCCATGTTCACTCACTGCAGTATTATTCACAATAGCCAAGATACGGAGTCAACCTAAGTGTCTATCAACAGATGAATGGATAAAGAAAATGTGGCATATATACAAAATGGAATACCATTCAGCATTGACAAAGAAAAAATAATCTTGTAATTTGCAACTACATAGGGGAACCTCGAGGACTTTATATTAAGTGAAATAAGCCAGGCACAGAAAGACAAATACTGCGCGATCTCACATATGTGGAATCTAAAAAAAAAAAAAGTCAAATTCATAGAAGCAGAGAGTAGAATGGTAGTTATCAAGGCTGGAGAACAGTGAGGGATTGGGTAGATGTTGATCAAGGAATACAAAATTTTAGTTAGACAGGAAGAATAAGTTCAAGAGATCTATTGTATAACATGGTGACTACAGTTAATAACAATGTATTGGATGCTTGAAAATTGCTAAGAGAGTGGATTTTACATGTTTTCACCACAAAATAAGTATGTGAGGTAACTGATTTGTTATTAGCTTGATTTAGCTGTTCCACAATGTGTACATATATCCAATCACCATGTTACACACTATAAACATATATATTTTTGCCAATCAAATAATGAAGGATTATCCCCACAAATACTTTAAAGAGTAAGAAAATGCATAATGTAATCATGCTCCAGACTTCTTGTCAAAAAAATAAAAATAAAGAAATTGCATAATGACTTAAAAGTCTCATAGAGTAGAACCCCAAATCTGATAGCCACAGGTAAAACTCCTCCTTTATTCTTCAAATGAAAAAAATAAAACAAAAACAAAAGATACTTAAGGCAGAATATCTCAAACAGAGATCCAAAGATAGATTTTGTCAGTGTAGGAAAAATTTTGCTTTTGTTTTTGGGGGTAGCCTCTAAAAGTTGGAAAAGCCAAGGAAACAAAACCTTCTCTAGAGGTGCCAAAAAGGAAAGTACTGCTGACATATTTATTTTAACCCAAAAAGACCCATTCAGACTTGTGCCTTCTGGAACCATAAGATAATAAATTTGGGTTGTTCTAGGGCAATAATTTTGTGGTGATATATTATGGCAGCAAAGAGACAACATACCATTCCCCTTGAGGATGTTGGTGACAGTGAACCCAATACAACTATATTCTTCTGTAACACTCTGTTGAAAAGTCAAGTAATTAGGATAAATATCATTTCAATGGTAAAGCCATTGCTGTCACCAATGTGAGTGGATATACTCAGAGGCTTAGCGATTTTACCTATGACATTGGTGTAGTTTTTTTCTCTTAATGATACAATGCATACTTCAGAATGGAACAAAGCTGATCTGTATTTGTCATACAATGTATAATGGAGAATGCTTAGATCGCATATTTCTTTACAAATGCGAAAACAGACAAAAGAAAATTCAAGTTTTTGTTTCTATGACCACCAGCTCTTAAAAGTCTCTGTTGTACAGGAAGTAAGATTTCACTTTACTTCAGTTCTTCTCAGACATTAATATACATATTAGTAAGTAACTGGGAGGTCTTGTTAAAATGCGGATTCTGATTCAGTATATCTAGTGTGGGGCCAGGAGATTTTGCAGTTTCTAAGCATCTCCCAGGTGGTGTTCATGCTACCACTCTATGGAACACACTTTGAATAGCAAGGGAGGGATTCAACAATCCCTACCTGAGGCTCCATATCACAAACAATACTGAATTCAAAATGTTTCTCTCTGCATTCAGTATTACTAGTTGAGAGAAGAAAAATAATCTCAAACTGACTTCCAGCATCTTTTAACCATTTATTAGTGATGGAAGTGAGCCTAAATAAAGTGTCTGACTCATTACTTTATTAACTAACATAGATATTCAAAAATAAATTCATGTGGCTATACTTTTGTCTTAGAATAATGAGGAGTCAGGACTGAGCATTCTAATACCTAATGTAATATTTCCCACTATTACAGAATATATTTCTTCTTCCACATTTTACAATGCCTGGATCTCTTCCAATTGTTGCTTTGTTGAGAGGTGATATGGTTTGACTCTGTGTCCCCACCCAAGTCTTATCTGGAATTGTAATCCCCACATGTGGAGGGAGTAACCTGATGGAAAATGACTGGATCATGGGGGCGGTTTCCCCCATGCTGTTCTCATGATCATGAGTGAAATGGTGTAAAAGTGTTTGGCAGTTCCCACCTCGCTCTTACTCTCTCCTGCTGCCATGTAAGACGTGCCTTGCATTTCTTTCAACTTCCACAATGATTGTAAATTTCCTGAGGCCTCCCCAGCCATGTGGAACTGTGAGTCAGTTAAATATCTTTTCTTTATAAATTACCTAGTCTCGAGAAGTTCTTTATAGCAGTGTGGAAACAAATTAGTACAAGGGGATTTCAACACAACAAATTTTCGGTCTATGAAAGGGCAAAGCTATTTTGAAAATGCATCTCAGATAATTACTTTCTTAAATGGCACAGCTATTCCATCCATAAAACATACAATAGGTACATTAAGCTAGCCAAATAAGAAAATATTGAATCATTAAATTAGTGTATTAGAAAAGTTATATAATAATATAATCTATGTTTTAATAAAATCCACTCATGAAGTGCTTTCAACATTGGTTGGTTTGACAGTAAGAAAGAATATGGGTTTATGTGCCTTCTGCCAGTGAAGCCATTGGAGGTCAGCACAATGAGCCCTTTCCCCTTAACTTCAGCCTTTATTTATGTAAAAAATGTCATCTCCACTAAGGAAAAAAAAAGGAAAATATTACAGGTATTAGAGGTTCAGAAGGAGAAAAGAAACTAGGGGAAAATATACATGTTATATGACTGTGTGTGTGTGTGTGTGTGTGTATGAATTTACATATACGTGTGTGTGTGTGTGTGTGTATACACATAAATTTTTTGAAAAACAATGAAGATAGGCCTCACTGTAGCTCCTTAACTTATACCTGGTAGCTTAACAGTTGAGCATACAGTGTCTAGAATAACACCTGCCCTCAAATCCTGGCTTTGCCACTTAGTAGTATATGACCTTGCATGAGCACCATACACTAATATTTGCCTAATAACAAAAGTGCTTAGGGGAGTATATAAGCCACATGTTTGCATGACTGTTTTTAGAAGCTTGAAAGAAACTGTCCCTAACTCCAAGGGAAAAGAAGCTAAGGAGATAGTTTGCTAAATTTTGCCACCCTGACAATAATAGCCTCAAAGATTCTAAGGATCAACCCAAATGCACATATGTCTAGTTGTTAAATAATAGGACACCTTTTGTGAAACAAAAGGTAAGACAGATATTGTTCTAGATTTCTTTACAGATGGAAGATGTAAGGTGAAGCATTTAATTGACTAACAGTATAATTTCATGTATCCAGTTGCCTTATACCTAGATCTCTGGTTTAATCCAGGCAATTTTGCCACTAGTTGGCACAAGAATGACCTCATTTGGACAGACAGGTTTCAACTTATTTCCTTAAAATTTTATGCAGAATGGAAAGGTATTAGGATATCAGTGATAGCTTCTGAATATGCCAGTGTCTCAAGCTCCCTTCTTATGCATAATATATCTCTAGAATTATCGATATTTGCTCCCAAACTAGTGTACCTAGATATAGTGTACTCAATACAAGTATATTAAGAAACCACCAATTTCAGTTTTAGCTCACTGACTCCACAATAAAATAAAAATCAACAATTCAAATTTTATTTATTCTGTTGGAGATTACACTATAAAAATATAATTCCCTCTGGAAGTATGATACAATTTTAAAAGCAGAAGGAAATAAATGTTTTTAAAATGTATTTTATGCAAATTTTCATGCTATATTTTTTCAATCAAGACTGAGAGAGTGTGTTTTAATAAAATATCTAAAACAAATGTAGGTATACACCATTTATTTGGGTAATCTTACAAATCTCTAACTTTGTAGAAGTAATATGGTGTTTATGGAATGTATGCACACACACACACACACACACACACACACACACACACACACACATCTCAGATTCCAGAGATTTAGATCCTAGCTAAAGCTCTGCCAAAAGTTCATTATATTGACCTTAGTCAAGCATAACTTGGTGATTAGAAGTCAAACCCGTGATTGGGTCTTGACTGTGACGTATAGTAGCTGTGTGGTCCTGGGAAAATCAACTGCTTTGAAATATGTTTTCTCATTTGTAAAATGGGAAATAATACTATACACTCTTTCATATAGATTTTGTGATGTTTAAATGTAATAAGATATATAAAGTTTTTAGCACAATGCCTGGCACTAAGTGCTTAATAAATATTAGTGTTTATTAATGCTAGTAAAGTACCTCACTTCTTTGGGCTTCAGATTCTTTACTTGTAAAATAAGGGGATTGGCTTATCACTATAAAATCTCTCCCAACTTAAACTCTACAACTTAAATGAGAAAACCCAATGTCATCCTCCCAGATAGAAATTGTAAAACAAGCCTTAAAAAACGCATGTCACACTCAGTTTTTTTCATATTTTATTTTGGGCTCTCTAAACTTAACAGCATATTTCTAAGCACCACATTCTATCCAGAGTTGCTTAAGTTTGATCAGTTTTCTCTATTGGTCTATGTGTAAATGTCTAGGAAAGTCTCAATTACTATGAAAGCTGGCTATAAGCTAAAACAGCTTTGAGGAGTTTCATATAATATAGGTAATCAGAGAAAAGGTCAAAGGATTTTCCCTTACAATGAATAACATTCATGGTTCACTTACAATTATCTACAATAATGATGTTCTAATTTACAGGTTAAAACACCCTTCAGACTGCTTTTAATCTATGTTTCTAAGTCAAAAACTTTTATGTGATATTGGGATGGTACCTCAAAGTGAGGCAGGAGCCAAAGTGAAATATGTGAAAAACCTCTGTATGAAACCATAATCACACTGTCATTCAAGTAAAACGAGCTCTGCAGAAGAATGCAATTTGAAGCCTGAAGGATAGGAAAGTGACAACCAATATATAATAGCAATTGTAACAACCATCACAAAGGTCATCTCTGATTCAAGAGATGTACACATGAAAACTATCAGGAATAATCAATATAAGATAGCAATTGTAGATAAAATGTAATAAAAAGTGAGTAATTTGTGTATTTTTAAAGATACATGATACAATGTCACCAAAGAGAAGTATAGAACAGTGGAATACCTCTTTATTTAGTATTTTTCAAACTGAGAAGATTACAGACAGAACCTCTTCTGGGATAGTGTTCCCTCCCTTGATCTTGTTTATGAGGACATGATATATTTGAAGGCCACCCAGTAAATAGAGATCTGTGTAATTTCTTTCCTCTGACTTAAATTCAGGTTTATTTAGTCATTGGAGGGTCTCTTGCCTGACCAACGATGAATAAGCTTTCACATGTATACAGTTCTCTCTATAAAAATACTGCTTCATTTCCCAGGAAATTGTTTTCTAGGGGAAAAAAAAAGAACATATATAGCTACAGCTATTTTGATTATTCAGTTAGGTGCTATGGGCAGATAATAAAGAAATGGATGTCATGGTCCCAACCCTTAAGGAAGGGTTTAAAATCCATTTGAGGATTCCAGTCTAACACACACACACACACACACACACACAACAACAACAACAACAACAATAACAAAGGAGACAATACAAAGCAGCCTACAAGCAACTAACAAAGACAATAATTGACGTGGGAATTCTAGGAAAAGTGAGGTCAGTAACACTTGCATTAGATTAATTTGGAAGGCACTTGTGGAGGGGTGGAATTTGAGTTGAGTTTCCAAAGTGGGTAAGATGTGAATTATGTAGAAGGAGGACATCCTACGTGGAGGGGACAGTAATGGTATAAGGAGCAAAGATATAAAGGTAGATTGTTCTCACTAACTGAACATTAAAGAGAGTTGTGCCCTGAAGAATAAAGGAAAATAAGGCTCCTGCATTACAATGAGGCCAGATTATGAAGTTCTTTAAAATTCGGGTGGAATTAGGCTTGAAACAATAGAAAATAAGGGGCCAAGAATATGTTGGTTAAAGAAAGTGATTTGTTGAAAGAAGTGTTCACAGACCACTAAGGATTTGGGGCACAGGTGAAGACTGCCTAGGAAGCTCCTACAGTGACTACATGGGTGCTGATGAGAATTTAGATTGTAAAGGAGGAACGTGTGAGAAGGCTTTCAAAGGAAAATTTACCAGTACTTGATAATCCCTTAACTATGAGAAATAGAGAAAAATCCAGATTCCTCTGTAAAATTGTCAGGAGTCTATGATCAGACTGTGGAGGGCAATTAATAACAATACTGTACAATCTATTCATCAATAATAGACAGGCAGGTTGTTCTTCATTGTTCCCCACAACTGCTGAGTAATAAAAGCCTTAATATAAGTAATATAACAGCCTTCCCAATGAAGGGGTGCGGGAAAGGGCTTCTCAAAATAATATTTGACTTCAGTGATTCTAGCAGAGACACAGAGGAAGAAGATGGACTCAGCACCAAACTTGATATGGAGACTAAATATTTATAAGAGATTGTCCCAAGAAGAGAAAAAGGCAAGAAAGGAAAATTTCTTACTCTGAGCCTCCACAATGGACTTCATTCTGAGTCTTTCCAAAGAATTTAAGGTTCAAAATCATTGTCACCTCAAATCAGAGCTCCTTTAAGATTAAAAGTTAGATTCATTTGAATAATTAGTGTTTATTTTTCCAAACAGTTTCTTATCTGATAAACTTCTATTTCACAAATTCTTCTAGAGTTCATTCCGTTATTCAACATCTAATATCTGGAAATTTAGAATGTGCCTTCTCAAATTTATAAGGCTCATTTTGAAGCTGGATTTACTCAGTAGGCCAGTTTAAACTAAATGGCAGATCTCTCCCCATCAACTGGTGCTTGAAACATCACAAGGCCTGGGATGTTCCCTGGGTCTCTACTTTCCAAATTCAGCACAGAAATGGCTCAGCCCCACCTCTTCCAGTGAAACCGAAACAGCGCCTGTGCAAACTCCACGCCTATTCTCCTCACAGTGACCCACCCCGCCCCCACCAAGGTGCTAATGCGCAGGCGCTACGCTCTCAGTGCCTTTGAGTAGGGCTGTGAGAAATCTACTGTCCAGTGAAATCTAGAAGTGGTAGAATTCAATCCCCTCCTTTCTTCGGAGGCAGAGGCGCCACTTCCTCCTACTACCCGTCCAGAAGCGCGTCCCAAACATCGCTCTCTCTCCGAGCAAGGTCCTTCGCTCTCTGGCAATCCCCATTGTATCCCTATCCGCAGCTCGTTTCTAATCTCACTCAGCCGCCAGCCTTCGCTAGGAGGATAGAGGCACTTGGCTCCCTAGGATCCGCACCAGTTTTTTGTCTGCCTGTTTAGGCCACGGAACCTATGGACCCCCCCACCCCCAACCTCGCCCCAAACTAGGAAAAGCATTATCCCGGTGCTTTGCCCTCCCTCCTTCGCCCTTCTCACCCACTTAGTGTTGAGTGCTTACCTCGGGTGTGGTGCGGTTACGAAAGGAATCAGCGGAACCCAGATCAGGCCGCTGCTGGGGCAGGCGGATTCAGCGAGATTTTTCCTGGGTCTCCAGTGCCGCTTCAGACAATGAAATCAGCGTGTCCGATCATCAATTCTCATCATGATCGTGACGTCACAAAAGACAGCGGCCAATGGGAGCCTGCGATCAGCTCAGGACAGTCCCTGGCCTCAGCCCAGAACCCAAGAGTTGGGAGGGGGGAAGAGAGATGGCTGCCTGCAACTGGACTGCCTCTTCCTCACACAAATCAGCTACATCTACGGCCAGGGCTCTCTATACCTTCCTGAATAGCTGTGAACACCGAGCATCCCTGTGACTATAGTAGTTACATGCCAGCCATTTGAGCAGGTGCTGCCTGGCCTTCCAACTTGACATTGGGTTTTAACAAAATTGTTACATGCTGCCAAAATCAAATGATAGCATAAGGAAATACAGTCCTTTGTGGTCAGTGTTCGATTGACAGGTAAATATTCAGTTTTACTAAAATCAATAAGGTGTCCATCGAGCCTTTAGAATTTTACAGTAAAAGCAAGTGTACTATTATACGTGACTGGTTGGCTCTGATGACTGAGGAAAGAAACTATGGTTTTTATTCATCCAACCTCAATTCCTATTCTGGCAGAAGCTTCTTGGGTGATCACCATTATACCATTCCAGAAAAGAAGTCAAGCCACATGTTACATCATTTAACAGTCACTTGATATACTTCCCAGATTTGCTGGATGCCATGAGAGATATAGAATTCATTGATTCTCTGCTATCATAGAACTTGCAACATCGTTTGGAAGACAAGATTAGCACACAGTAAATATTCACAACAATAAAATAAAGTACATGATCATGTGCTCAGTCATTAACTACAGACAAGAGCTACATTATTTAATTATTGGAGACATCAGTGAGGTGAAAAGTCAGGGAAGCATTTTATGTAATTAAAACTTGAGATGGTTCTTGAATGGTGGATAAGAGCAGATGGAAGTCACCGTCTTAAAGGGGAAAGATAGGCAAAGGTAGAGACGTATAAATTCATATGATGTGAGGAAGCCCATGATGAAATCAGCTTGACAAATAGAGGGCATATGCTGAGGACTAGTGGTAGATGGAATTGGCTAATAATAAAAGCCTTTGAAAATAGGCAGATAACTTTTATTTGATTAAAAGCCACCAAAAGCCATAAAGCATGTGACCTCAATCCTCTATAGTCAATTATCTACAGAGGAGTTTAGGTGATTTTTTAAAACAAAAGCCAGATTATGCTCAACTTCAGATTGTTCAATGGTTTCCTTTCACATATACAATAAAATGCAGATTTCTTACCATGTCCTCAAAGCCCTAAATGATCTGGCCTCCGCCATCTTTCTGACCTCACCTCCTGTCACTCAGCCACTAATTCACAAATATATTAATCTTCTATTTCTCAAACAAGTCAAGCTCATGTCCACAGCAGTGACCCTGTACTGTTGTACTGTCTGATCTTTATATGACTTACTCCATCACTTGATTGAAATCTTTGCTCAAATGCAACCTCTTTAAAGAGGTTTTCCTATTTAAAATTGTGATATCCTTAACACTCTCTATACCCTTTTTTCTGTTTCATTTTTCTTCATAGTATTTATTATTATTAAATGTATTTTATATATTTAGTTATTGCAAATGTAAGCTCTATGAAGGCAGGGATTTTTGTCTGTTTTGTTTATTATTATATCCCTCAAATCTAGAAAGCCTCTAAATACAAAGTAGACAAATAAGTAAGTACGTATTGAATGAATGACTGAAAGCACATTTTTCAAGTCATTAATTTGCATTTTCAGTAACATTGCGATAGGCTGGAGTGAGAGAGACCAGTTAGACAGTTGTAATGCTAACCCAGCTTCTAGGTGACACACCCCTAGATTAGGGTGTTAAAAATGATGAAATATGAGACTTTCAAAGAAGGAATTATATGGGTAAAGTGGAGGATTCAGAAAAAGCCTATTGATAATTGATTAACGTATTCATAAATTACGTTTATGAATTACCTGAAACTGAAGTGATATGAGAAAAAGGATCAGAGTCCCTACCCTTGAAGGGTTTATAATGCAAAGACACAAGAAGACTTGTATGAAATCACAGTACAAATAGAGGCAATTAAATTAATCCAATTTTTCCTTCCTCTTTTCCCCTCTCACTCTGTAGCTAAGCCACTAGTATGTTTGAAGACTGTACCTTCAAATTAGGCCCCAAATCTGAATACTCTGTACCTCCTCTATCACCGTTACACTAAAGTCACTGTAACTTCTAGTTTGAAATACTGCAAAAGCATCTTACATCGTTTATTTTCTTCCACTCTTGTCCTTCTTCAAAAGTTTCTCTTAACATCAGTCAAAATATTCTTTATAAAGTTTGAATCAGACCATATCACTACCTGATTTAAAGCCCTCCAAATGCATCTCATTACATTAACAATAAAGTCCCAAGTCCTTTCTATGGTGTATTTCCCACCATTTGTTCCTGCCCTGGCTCATTATGCTGTAGCTACTCTGGTCTTTTTGGTTATCTGTTTTCTCTCTGGAATGCCTATTTCCTCTTCAGAGACTTTGCATTTGCTATTATTTCTTGGGAAACTCTTTCCCCAGATCTTCACATAGCATACTTCACATAATTCAGGCTGTCTGCTAAAATGTTACCTTCTCAGATGGGACTTCATGGACCAATCAATTTAAAATAGCATTGCCCCACCACCACCACAATTATCTGTCTCCTGTATCTTCTTGCTGTGCTTAATTTTTCTCATATCACTATGGAAAAATACATTATTAGTTTTGTTGGTTAGTTATTTTGCCTTTCCCCAACAGAATGAAAAGTTCAAGGGGGTAGGAAGTTGCCTCTCTTATTACTGTTATATCTCCAGTACCTAGAGTTGTAGTGGTACCTAGCATTAAGTAGGCACTCAATGGGTCTTTGTTGAATGAATAGATAGGGGAGAGCATAGATTGTGTAGTGCAGTAATAGGTATTCAGGGATGAGAGATGTTTTCAATACATGCCTAAGATACCGGTACCTGTCCTGTTCACAATATATCAATTAAAAGCATGTTTATTGAACTTGTAAGTAAAAAGTATCTAAGTAGAATAATTAAACCATGGATATTAACCAAGATTTCAAAGATCTCAAAAGACTCAACAAACAAATGCAATAAAATGAAGTTTGACATGGATAAACAGTAAGTCTTGATTCTAGGTTTACAAAAATCAGTTGCATAAGTACAGGAAGGGCAATAAACACCTAAGTTGGGAAGTTCATCTAAAAATTCTGTAAATTCAATATGAACTGGTATAACAAAGCTGTTAAACAAGATAATTCATACTTAAACTACATTAATAAAAAGTTATTATCTGAATCAAGAGAGTTAAGGGTTCTACTAGTCTCTACCCTAGTCAGACCACACTTGGTCTCTTCTGTTGATTATCCTTATTTTAAAATAAACATTCACAAATAGCTGCATTTAGAGAAGAAAAACCAGGATGATGAGGCATCTAAAAAATACATGATTTGAGGCAAGTCTCCAGGAGCTGAGGATGCTTAGCTTAAAGAGGAGAAGATCTCAAGAATATATAACTACCTTCAAATATTTGAAAGACTGCTGAGCAAAGACAAATGTGACTTATGTTGTGGTTTTCCAGAGGGCACTACCAAGGCCAAAATGGATAACTGATGGGAAAAAAAAGTCTCAGCTTAAAATTCAAGTGTTCAAAAATGATAGAGACTGTTTTGTAAAGTCAAAAGGCCTCAATCACTGGGAATGTTTCAGTGACCATCAGTCAGCAACGTTGAAGGATTATCTATATTGAGTGACTGCTAAAGTTGATTTCAACACAAAATTTACCGATTTTTGGATTATGTCAGAAGGAAGTTAGTCAGGAAAATGCCTTAAAGAAAAAAGTGAGTTTGGTATTTTAAGATTTGGTTTAGTCTGGTGGAGCTGAATCTAGGTTGGGGTACCACTAATAAAAGATAACCAATTTACTGCTCTCCCATTCTTCATTGGGGGAAAAAAACATGTTCACAGTGCATTTTGGGTGAACATAAAACTGCATACACCAAAGAAAGTTCTCCCAACTTAATTTTTTTCTTAATTTTCCAATTAATAAGGAATTTATTCTTAAGTTCATTTTAACCAACACAATCATTTATTGATATATGTGAGACCTGCCTAAATGAGCCCAGAACACAGCTCTAACCATTGGATTGCTAGGTTTAAAAAACTAACTTTCAATCTACTTAAAGTTACATTAATTTTTCTAGTAGAGCTGATTTTCATTAATCAGAGTCTCTATGCTTTGTTTGTAGGTTATTGAGGCTTTTTTATTCACTTCTATTTTTCTTTTCTCTCTTTTTTTTTAATTTTTAGAGACAGGGTGTTGCTCTGTCACTCAGGCTGGAGTGCAGTGGTGCGATCATAGCTCACTACAGCCTCAAACTCATGGACTCAAGTGATCCTTACACCTTGCCCTTCTAAAATATTCATTGTGATTACAGGCCTGAGCCATTGCACCTGGCAGATTTTTACTTTTATTTTGCCCACCTTTTAGGCCTTTTACAGCTTATTGACAGCTCCATTCAAAGTTGTCCACCAAAAAATGATGAGAAAGCTGAAATTAAGTGTTGTCCTTTTAAATACTTCTGATTTGGAGCAGAAGAAAATAAATTTTAAATTACATGTTAAAGTTATGGTTTCTCTGTGGATTTCAATTATCCATTGCAGCCATGTTATTAGTGTTTTAGTGGAGATGCCATTTGAAGGAACTTTTCTGCTCTTACTGTGGCCAGGTAAAAGTAAACCCTATGATAGAAAACCCTTCTGAATCATTAGTAGACACTGTCCTTCTCTAATTATTCCATAAATAGCCTCTACAGAACACTAAATTTCTATTTTGTATTTCACTTATTAAGATACCTCATTTTATAGACAATGTATACATGACTTGTTCACCTAGAAAATTTTTGAAATAAAACCAATTCTTGAGTGCCACTACGGTTTTTCAGAAGTGATGTATTACTAATATTTCTGGGTTATTTTTCTACTTTAACTAAGCCAATAGTTCTCAACATGTTTTCCCTGGACCAGCAACATCAAAATCACCTGAGAACTCTTTGGAAATGTAAAATCTTGATCCCTACCTACAGATTCAAAAACTGTGAATGGAGGGCCAAGAAATTTGTGTTTTAACAAGCTGTCCAGGAAATACTGATGTATGGTAAAGGTTGAGAACAACTGTATTTAGTTATAACTATGGAAGCAGGGGATATAGAGGCAATTTCATTCTACAAATATTTATTTAGCTTTCATTATGTGCAAGCTACATAGAATTTATGAAAACATGATTTTGGTGTTCAAAATATGCAGTCTAGTAGAACAGCCACAGACTTAAGAATGTAAAATAGTGTGATAGTCCTTAAACGTGGGGTGGGAATCTGAGTTGAGTGGATCTAGGAAAATTAGAGCTATGAATAAGAATGACTGGTTTTGCATAGTAGAGTTTTATTTCTGACATGTCTACTGTTATATCCCTGATATGGCTCCAAATGTTTCTCCCCCTATTCATGTTAATGATGTCAGGATAAAGTGAGAGACCAGGGAATCAAGTATTCTAATTTAGCAATTTTGCTATAACAAACCTCTCCTCCCTCAAAAAAAAAAAAAAACATTTTGTATACATCCAGAAAGAATTCCACTTATGTATTTCTCTCTTGAGTGAATGGTGAAATTTACTCATGTTTCTCTAATTTCATATTGAAATTTATTTGTAGCATGCTATCAAATATATAGGGAACCTATATATTTATATTGATTGACTTCTGAAAGCAACTCGAATCCTATTGGTATCAAAAGAGAAGTTTACTTTTTGGAAAGTTTAAATTGTTTGTATTGACATTTTAAAGTGGTTCTCAATCATTTGGGAGATTGAAGATACTTTAGATAATACGACAAAGCCATGAACCCTTTCTCCAGAATCATACACACATATAGATTTCATAATATTTATTACTGGAGGTGAATTCCATGGATTTTCTGTAGATTATATGTTAACTTGCTGGAGTGGATAGATCCTAGGTAAACAGCGCTCCTGAAAAATGATTTAAGATGATGTACAAAGTGAATTATTTGGTCATAAGAGTGTTACTAGTCTAGATAACTTGTCTAGAATGTGGTGAGTTACCCATTTAGCACTATGAAGTGTAGGCCAGCCCCAAATGCTTCAAATCAGTATCCTCTTTAATACATACAAATATATCAACCACGCACTCATATGAACTGAAAGTTCATTTATCCCCTAGGGGAATTAAAACGTCTGAGGAGTTGAGAGGAACAGTAGTCTTCAGTTCAAATCAAGAGAGATACATTGAGAATACCTTCGCCCAAATAAGCAAAATATTTCTGAAGAAGCACCTAGATACATGCTTTATCATCCATGTGGTTATTAAAAAGACAGCAAAAAAGCTAATTATTATGCTCCACCATGACTTGGGGTGTAGGATGGGTTGAGGAAGGAAAGGAAAAATTGGCTCCTAAAAATCTAGAGTCATTTGCAAAGCTTTTGAAAAACCATTCTGCATTAAAAACAGAAAGGATTGAAAAGGCTATCTTTGAAGTAAATTGAACAAGGAAAAAGCCTATCTCATTTTTAAACCATTTTGCCTTCATTTTTTATTTTATTTTTTTTTTTAGACAGAGTCTCATTCAGTTACCCAGGCTGGAGTGCAGTGGCACTGGTGAGATCTCAACTCACTGCCACCTCAGCCTCCCATGTTCAAGTGATTCCCATGCCTCAGTCTCCTGAGTAGCTGGAATTACAGGTGCGCACCACCATGACCAGCTAATTTTTGTATTTTTAGTAGAGACGGGGTTTCTCCATGATGGCTAGGCTGGTCCCCAACGCCTGACCTCAAGTGATCCACCTGGCTCGGCCTCCCTAAGTGCTGAGATTACTGGTGTGAGCCACCGCACCCAGCCTGCCTTCACTTTTTATGGATAAGAAAAATAAAGTACAAGGAAGCAAAGTGAGTTACCTGAGGTCCATAGATCAGTAATTTACTAGATGATATACTTTTGATCACATAAAGTTGATGATCATTTGAAAGTAACTATCAATAGCCCTGTCATTTTCAGTCCTAGCTAATGGAAGAAAGTTGAAGAGCCAAGATTTGACAAGGCAAGTTAGGGGCTCAAGGACCAGATCTAAGTAAAGGTGGAACAAATAATCTGAAACTATGTGAATAGACCAAAGTAGGTGTATATAGAACTGCCAATAGTCAAAACTAGAGAGTGATGCCCAAATTATTGGTAGTTGGAAAAAAATGTAAACACATAGCCATGTAGCAAAAGTCAGAGAAGGCAAGATTCTAGATTCAGAGGTGTTCAAACTGGGTAACAGAAATCAAGAACCAGTTAAAAAGAATAAGTATCAGAAATCACCAAAAATATTGGGAAAACAACATTAGGATCTAAATTGGCAGGCCAAAAATGTTGGACAGATGGAAATACAAAGGTCAAGTTAAAGAAGAGGTAGCCAAGGACCAAACAAAATAAACTCAGGCCAGGTCAATTTGATTTATCAAACAAGTAAGTGAGTAGTAAGGAGTCAAGGCAAATCAAGAAATAAGGAAGTCACAGAAGCTTAAAGCACAGAGCATGGGTAAGTTAAATGACAGATAGAAATGCCAAGGTGGATCTTGATAAATGAGAGAGTCCTTCAGCTTTGGACTTGAGCTTTAATAAACCTAATGTGGCCAGACTGGGCCCTGGAGGTGAGAGCAAGTAATTGAGAACAACTCCCTGCCATGAATTTTGTGTGGGTAAAATAGTACTTTCTGGCAGTCAGATTCCAACAACAAAACCCAGAGGAAAATATGAAGTGTTTTGAATACCTTAAGAGTTTTTAAGGCAACAGTTTTCTTTCAAACTTAAACGAATATCATGGTTTCCAGTTGAGAAAATTTTCTAAATGACATAGCAAAATTATTTGGTAGTAAAATTTCCATGATTCCTTTTCAGAGCTTTATACCATATTGTACTACTGACTTGCATTACACAGAATATGTGAAAATGTTATATCATAATTTTTTAAGCTTGCCCTATAAAAATTATTTTAATTCTATTACTTTTCCTTTAATAAAAATCCCCAATGAACTTCAGAGTATTGATCCATATTGTATTGTCTATATTCACATGCCTTTGTTGACCACTATAATTGAGTTCCATTTCATGCTCACAAATCTAGTTGGTGATACAGTGCATAGGAAGGAAATATAAAGAGCTTATTTGCGTTGTGTGGTAGTATAACCCATTTTTTTCCCAATTGGTGTAATATGTTAGAGCCTTCTACAGGTTCTAAAAATCTAAAAATATAAACTGGCAGTGTTAGCAATATGGATTTCTAAGTAGGATTTAGCAATTAGTATGACAAGAGCCATTTTCTTAACACTTAACATATTCAATTGGCAATATCACCTATAGTTATGCACAGTTGATGCTTATGGCAACCCACATTGGTTTTGTCCTTCATAACCAAGGATTTAGTATTAAGATCTTGTGTAGCAATACCAAAAGCACAGTTCTTTGCAGCTTTAATACCTGGAAAATCTGTTACATTGACCTTCCATTTTAATTACTTTAAGTTACATTGACCTTTCATTTTAATTACTTTAAGTTTTTAGTATTAGCATAGAGTCTTTATATCCTTCCCTACCTGCAGCCCTTCTTCCTGTTGCCAAAAGCATTATATATAAATATATCTGATAATTTTAAAAGCAAGCACATCAAATATTAGTCTTCCTTGGAATAAATGGGGGAAAGAGAAATAGGTGAATATTGATAGTGGTGTGCTAGAGCCCGTCAGCACTTGCTCAGGAGAGCTGACTGTGCAGATCTCCTCCCAACTCCGCATTCACTGACCTAAAACTAGTGGCTTGAAGCCTGCCGTGGTGGGGTAGTAACAACATGAAAATTAACAAATGGTACAAATTAGGGCTTCCATTTCACCAGAGAGCCAATTGTTAAACATTTACTAGCACACTACTGAGGGTATAGGAAAGCAGAATATGAGAACAGAGTATAGAGAAGTACTTTGAAATTAACTAGGAAGGAATGATTAACTTTAATTTGTTTACTACTAAAAGATGAGGTCTAGCTGAAAAAATGAGTTTTCATTTGAAAGGAGTGAAAAGATTTCACTATGTTTGCACAGTAAAAATTCACTTTTAAAATTTAAAATAGAATAATTTACTTAGCTAATATATTGAATCCAATTCATTCTTGGAATATTGTTATTGGATAGCTAAGCAATTTGGTGATAATAGTAATTCACCTTATCCTAAGTTTTACCTTTAACGTTATAAAAAAGAATCAAAAGTACCCTTAAATAATATGTCGGGGCTAGCAGGTGTGTCTTTTAAGAAAGTTTATTTGATAGGTAATGGCGGAGGATGTTGGTGAAGAGAGTTTTAAATATAAGCTAGGCTTGGTAAGGACTACATCAAATAGGTTAGTGTTCTGACTGAGATTTTTAAGCAAGACTTGGAACTCAGTGATCAGTTATGGAAGCAGGATCTGAAGAAAAAGAAGGTGCGTGCTGAAATGATGTGTGAAATATTGCACAACTGAAAGTAACGCTTGGCAAAAATGAGCGTTAATACTGCAACAGAAGTCAGTATATTGAAGAGGTATCTGCACTCCCATGTTTACTGCAGCATATTCACAATAGCCAAGATATGGAATCTACCTAAGTGTCCATGAACAGAAGAATGAAGAAAATGTGGTACATATACACAATGGTGCACTATTCAGCCATCAAAAAGAATGAGTTCCAGTCATTTGCATCAATATGGATGGAACTGGAGATCATTATATTAAGTGAAACAAGCCAGGCACAGAAAGACAAAACATCATATGTTCTCACTTATTTGGGGGATCTAAAAATCAAAACAATTGAACTCATGGACACAGAGAGCAGAAGGATGGTACCAGAGGCTGAGAAGGGTAGAGGGAAGTTGAGATGGAGGTGGGGATGGTTAATGAGTACAAAATTACAAAGAATGAATAAGATCTACTATTTGATAGGACAGTAGGGTGACTATAGTCAATAAGAACTTATTAGTATATTTTAGAATAAATTATGTAATTGGATTGTTTGTAACTCAAAGTGTAAAGCTTAAAAGGATGGATACCCCGTTTTACATGATGTGTTTATTTCACATTGCATGCTTGTATCAAAATACCTCATGTATGCCATAAATATATACACCTACTATGTACCCACAAAATATTTTAAATTATAAAAAAGAAAATGGGGGCTACATATACAAAATGGCATATTATTCATCCATGAAAAATAAAATTCTGTCATTTGCAACAACATAGATGGAACTAGAGGATATTATGTTTAATTAAATGAGCCAGGCACAGAAAGATAAATGTCACATATTCTTACTCATATATGGAAGCTAAAAAATTGACCTCATGGAGATAGAGAGTATAGCGATGGTTACCAGAGGCTTAAAAGGGTAGTAGGGAGGGGGGAAAGAAGAGAGTTTGGTTAATGGGTGCAAAAATACAGTTAGATAGTAGGAATAAGATCGAGTATTCAGTAGCACAATAGGGCAACTGTAATTAAGGGTAACTATAGTTAACAATTTTATTTTATATCTCAAAATCACTAGAGGAGTAGATTTGGAATGTTCCCAACACAAAGAAATGATAAATGTTTGAGGCAATGGATATCCCAATCACCCTGTTTTGATCTTTATCCATTGTATGCTTGTATCAAAATATCATGTGTACCTCATAAATATTTACAACTTTTATGCATCCATTAAAATTAAAAATAGAAATAAAATATAATTTAAAAAATGAAGAAAAGATTGCAACAGACCATAGGAACTTCATTTTAAAGACTCATGGATTAGATCTATTTTTACATCAGTGCCTTCTTTTAGTGAATTACTCTGGATGTTCTGAACAAATTCACCTGGAAACAATGGCCAATAGCCTCAAATATTAAAGGCAACCTCTATTTTATCTGGACAAAGGTCAGCAATGGCATTCTAAAACTTAGGGAAAAAGTATTCAATATAACTTAGAGTTATAGGGCTGCCAGAGACCACAAGAATTCATCTAGTCAACTTTCCTCTTTCTAAATAAACTTGTTCCTAAGTAACATCTTCTGTAATATTTTTAATCTGTGTATATCATGAGCAATAAACTGTGAAGTCTCAGCATACATGAATAATTTAATGCTGTAATCAAATAAAACAAAGTCAGAAATTTATAAACTCAGATCTAATCTACATTTACTAAGCTTCCATAATATTGAACAATGTAGTGGATATATTTATATATGGCATCTCATTTAATCTTCACAACCCAGATAGCATAAATTCTGTTATACAGATAAGAATACTGAATATGAATAACCATGACAATAAAGCAGAAATTTATAAACATTCCATGTAAATGACCTTAATTGGCATGAGTTTTGTATAACCAAACAAATGTTTTAGAAATTTTTCCATAGCTAGTACTATGAAAAGGAAAACCCACATTTTCCAGATTTAAGGTGTATTCTGTTCCCTTTTTCTCATACCACACCTAGTAATAGTAATATTTGCCATTTTATTGAATGATAACTTTATGCCAGATACTATAATAAATTATTTACATATATTTTCTCATTTAAGCTCTACAACAACTCTATGAGAGATTACCATCCCCTTTTTCAGAGGAGGAGGCAGATCTTACAGAGGCTTGTATGTGGAAGAACCAGGATTCAAACTTATTTGTACTTAACTTCAAAGCCCGTTATTCTTAAGCACTTTGCTATACTGCTTTCTGTGGTATTTACATTCTTTTCTAAAAAAAAAAGGTCTTATCAGGAAAATTTGATTATGGACTATGTAGTAGATGGTACCAAGAAATCATTTTCATTTTGGTAAGTATAATATTAGCATTATGATTGTGTAAGAAAATGTTCATTTTTATAGAGATACATACTAAAATATGTACAGATGAAAAAATGTGATATCCAGGTTTCGCTTTGAAATAGTCAACAAAATAAGGGGTTTAGATAGAGCAAAAGTGGCAAAATGTTGAAAATTTTCAATCTGAGTTATGGATGTATGGGGCTTTTTTTTCTCTTTTTACTTTTGTGTATATTTAAAGTTTATATAACTATTATTTTTAAAGACGTCATGAGCCTAATATCCAGCAAGCCCTCTGAGGACCTGCTCTTTCTTAGCTCTACCTCATTGGGGCACCTGCCCCAATAATCACATAGGTTCTTTTCTATTTTTCCTAAGTGTCAGCTGACTTGAGAAATAAAGGGACAGAGTACAAAAGAGAGAAATCTTAAAGCTGGGCATCCGGGGGAGACATCACACGTTGGTAGGATCCGTGATGCCTCCCAAGCCACAAAAACCAGCAAGTTTTTATTAGAGATTTTGAAAAGGGGAGGGAGTGTGCGAATAGGTGTGGGTGACAGACATCAACTACTTAACAGGGTAACAGAATATCACAAGGCAAGTGGAGGCAGGGCAACATCACAGGACCACAGGACCCAGGCAAAATTAAAATTGCTAATGAAGTTTTGGGTACTACTGTCATTGATAACATCTTATCAGGAGACAGGGTTTTGAGATCAACCGGTCTGACCAAAATTTATTAGGTGGGAATTTCCTCTTCCTAATAAGCCTGGGAGTGTTATGGGAGACTGGAGTATATTTCGTCTCTGCAGTTTCGACCATAAGAGACAGGCCACGCCCAGGGAGGCTGTTTATAAGCTGATACCTCCAGGCGCGTATTCTCTTTCTCAGGGATGTTCCATGCTGAGAAAAAGAATTCAGCGATATTTCTCCCATTTGCTTTTGAAAGAAGAGAAATATGGCTCTGTTCTGCCTGGCTCACTGGCGGTCAGAGTTTAAGGTTATCTCTCTTATTCCCTGAACAATTGCTGTTATCCTGTTCTTTTTTCAAGATGCTCAGATTTCATATTGCTCAAACACACATGCTATACAATTTGTGCAGTTAACGCAATTATCACATGGTCCTGAAGCGACATACATCCTCCTCAGCTGACAGGATTAAGAGATTAAAGTAAAGACAGGCATAGGAAAGCACAAGGGTATTGATTGGGAAAGTGACAAGTGTGCATGAAATCTTTACAATTTATGTTTAGAGATTGCAGTAAAGACAAGCATAAGAAATTACAAAAGTATTAATTTGGGGAACTAATAAATGTCCATAAAATCTTCACAATCCACGTTCTTCTGCCATGGCTTCAGCCGGTCCCTTTCTTTGGGGTCCCTGACTTCCCGCAACACTACCTCAATGGCCAAGAGGACTGTTTTCCATATTCTTACCCACACTGTGCCTTCTATCTAAAGGGCCATGCACAGCAGAACCAACTGGTTCATATTCCATATTTCCTACCATGAATAAACTGCTTTATATCTTGGATACCAAAAAGCCTTGAAGGTAATAGAAATTCATAGCTACAGGAAGTTACAGTATGGTCATTATGCCTTGACCATCCTATAAAAAAAAAAAAAAAGACACACTGTCTTCTGAGACACTTACCCAGCCTTAATTTTTTTTCTTCTACAAATTTTCATGATATGACATTATATTATATATTGTTTATTTGTTAATTGTCTTCTTCTTTCCTTCATAGATGGTAAGTTCCATGAGGGAAGGAATCTTGTCTGTGTTTTTAATTTTTAATTTTTTATTTCTGTATGTTACTGGGGAACAGATGGTGTTTGGTTACATGAGTAAGTTCTTTAGCGGTGGCTTGTGAGATTTTGGTGCACCCATCGCCCGAGCAGTATACACTGCACCCAATTTGTAGTCTTTTATCCCTCACCCCATTCCCACCCTTTCCCTTTGAGTACCCGAAGTCCATTTTGTTATTCTTATGCTTTTGCACCCTCATAGTTTAGCTCCCACTTATGAGTGAGAACATATGATGTTTGGTTTTCCATTCCTGAGTTACTTCACTTCGAATAATAGTATCCAATCTCATCCAGGTTGCTGCAAATGTCATCAATTCATTCCTTTTTATGGCTGAGTAGTAGTCCGTCATATATATACACATATGTATGTATATATATATATATATGAGTAGTATTCAATCATATATTTATACATATATCACAGTTTCTTTATCTACTCATTGACTGATGGGCATTTGGGTTGGCTCCATATTTTTCAATTACTAATTGTGCTGCTATAAACATGCATGTGCAAATATCTTTCTTTTTTTTTTTTTTTTTTTTGTATAATGACTTCATTTCCTCTGGGTAGGTACCCAGTAGTGGGATTGCTGGATTAAATGGTAGATGTATTTTTTGTTCTTTAAGAAATCTCCACACAATTTTCCACAGTGGTTGTACTAGTTTACATTCCCACCAGCAGTGTAGAAGTGTTCCCTCTTCACCGCATCCATGCCAACATCTATTATTTTTTTTATTATGGCCGTTCTTGTGGGAGTAAGGTGGTACTGCATTGTGGTTTCGATTTGCATTTCCATGATCATTAGTGATGTTGGGCATTTATTTATATGTTTGTTTGCCATCTGTATATCTTCTTTGAGAATTGCCTATTCATGTCCTTAGGCCACTTTTTAATGGGATTGTTTGTTTTTTTCTTGCTAATTTGCTTTATTTCATTGTAGATTCTGGATAACAGTCTATGTCAGATGTATACATTGTGAAGATTTTCTCCAACTCTGTGGGTTGTCTGTTTACTCCACTGACTCTTCTTTTTGCCCTGTAAAATCTCTTTAGTTTAATTAAGACCCAGTAATTTATCTTTGTTTTGTTGGATTTGCTTTTGGGTTCTTGGTCATGAAATCCTTGTGAATCTGTTGTGAATCTGATAGGTACTAGTTTACATTCCCACCAGCAGTGTAGAAGTGTTCCCTGTGAAATCTCCTGTGAATCTGTTAGGTTTTCTTTTATAGATTACCTGATGCTTCTGCCTAACAGCTGAAAGATACTTTCTTTCATCTTAATTTTAGATAATGTGATGACAATGTGCCTAAGGAATAATATTTTTGCGACAAATTTCCCAGGTGTTCTTTGAGCTTCTTGTATTTGGATGTCTAGGTCTCTAGCAAGGTCAGGGAAGTTTTCCTCAATTATTTCCCCAAATATATTTTCCAAACTTTTAGATTTCTCTTCTTCCTGAGTAACTCTGATTATTTTCGGGTTTGGTCATTTAACGTAATTCTAGACTTTTTGGAGGCTTTGCTCATATTTTTTATTCTTTTTACTTTGTCTTTGTTGGATTGGGTTAATTCAAAAACTTTATCTTCAAGCTCTGAAATTCTTTCTTCTGCATTTGATTTTATTGCTGAGAATTTCCCGAGCATTTTGCATTTCTTTAAGTGTGTCCATTGTTTCCTGAAGTTTTGTTTTTTATTTATGCTATGTTTTTCACTGAAGATTTCTCTCCTCATTCTTGTATCTTTTTAAAAATTTTCTTAAATTTGACTTTGCCTTTCTCTGGTACTTCCTTGATTAGCTTAATAACTTACTTTATGAATTCTTTCTCAGATAAATCAGGGATTTCTTCTTGGTTTGGATCATTGCTGGTGAGCTAGTGTGATTTTGGGGGGTGTTAAATAACTTTGTTTTGTCTTATTACCAGAGTTGGTTTTCTGGTTTCTTCTCATTTGAATAGTCTCTGTCAGAGGGAAGGTCTAGGGCTCAAGACTATTGTTCAAATTGTTTTGTCCTACTGTGTGTTCCCTTGATGTAGTACTCTCCCCCTTTTCCTAAGGATGTGGCTTCCTGATAGCCTAGCTGTAGTGATTGTTATGTCTTTTTTGGACCTAGCCACCCAGCAGGTCTACCAGGCTTTGGGCTGGTACTGAAGGTTGCCTTCACAGAGTCCTGTGATATGAACTGTCTGTAGGTCTCTCAGTCATGGATACCAGCTCCTGTTTTGGTGGAGGTGGCAGGGGGGTGAAATGCATTCTGTGAGGGTCCTTAGTTTTGGTTGTTTAATGTACTATATTTGTTCTGGTTGGTCTTCTGCCAGGAGGTGGCACTTTCGAGAGAGCCTCTGTTGTGGTAGTATAGGGAGGATCAGGCAGTGGGTGGGGGCCCAAAACTTACAAGAATATAGGCCCTTTGTCTTCACTACCAGCTTGGGTAGGGAAGGACCATCTGGAAGGGCCAAGGCTTGGAGTGTCTGAGCTCAGACTCTCCTTGGGTGTGTCTTGCTGTGGCTGCTGTGGGGGATGAGGATGTGGTTTTCTGGTCAATGGAGTTATGTTCCTAGGAGGATTATGGCTGCCTCTGCTGTGTCATGCAGGTTATCAGGAAAGTCAGGGAAAGCCTGCAGTCACGGCCCTCACCCAGCTCCCACACAACCCAAAAGGCTGGTCTCACTCCCACCCTGCCCCCTCATCCCAACAGCACAGAGTCTGTTTCCAAGCAGTGGATGAGCAGGGCTTAGAACTTTCCCCAGGTTACCAGCCTTCCAGTTGCGAAAGCAAATAGGGCTTTCAAGCTTCCCCACCTGTGGAGTCTGCACACTGGATTAATGCCCTCCCCTGTGTTCCGGCCAGGAGACTTCTCATTTCATTGGAGTTGTTACAAAATTCAGCTGGAGGTTTTCTTCTCCCTGTGGCCTTTTCCAAGTACCTCTGGCAGTCCTCCCCAAGGACCCCTATGAAGCAAGTCAGAAATGGCTCCCTGGGGGACCCAGAGAACCCATAGGGCTTTCCCCACTTCTTACTCTACCCTTGTATTTCACTCAACTCTCTAAATTGACTCAGCTCTAGGTAAGGTCAGAGTCTTCTTCTGTGATCTAGATCTTCAGGTTCCCCATTACGGGTTTGTGTTTGGGGGCAGACGATCTCTCTTTCCCACTTCCACAGTTTGGGCACTCACAGTATTTGGGGTGTCTCCCAGGTCCTGCAGGAGCAATCAGCTTCCTTCAGAGGGTCTGTGGTTTCTCTTGGCTTTCCTGAATTATTCCTGCAGTAGTCCTGGAGCAAAAGTTTATGATGCGAGTCTCCACAGACTGCTCTGTCCATCTGAGTGGGAGCTGCAATCTCGTCCTCTTGTTAGTTTTGTTGACAGCTATATTCCAAGAAGCTCAAACAGTACCTGTCACATAATAAAACACTTAATAAATATTTGTGGAATAAATGAATAAATGAATAAAAGGGTAGCTGCAATAATTTGTGGATTTCTGGCACTGGATAGGGTAAATTTTAATACATAAGATTCATTTTATATGATCAAGTAGGAAAAGGTAAATTGAGAGTTTAGAAAGAAGTAGTCTTTCTCTAGTGGCCTGGTGATCGTGATGCAGATTTGTCCAGATATCAGGGTTCCATAGCTGACTTGAAAAATACCTTCCTCACCACCATTCTGAGAAATCATTAGAGTAATGAAGATCCCTTACCATTTTCATCTTGTATGGAGTTCTTCATGGAACGCACCTAAGGGCAATGAGTCAGACCATTATAAGCTTTTGAATTTCAGAGCTTGAAGTCCCCAGAATTACTTGTGGTCAATGGAAAGAGTGTCCCAGGTCCCTTGCCCCTCAGGAAAATGGAGATTCTTACCCAGTGTTCATTGCTGTACATTTGTTAGCTGGGTCTGGGCCATCTCTGACACCTTCTTTCAGCTTTGTTCATCTTGCCGTAGAGAAAGGAAGAAGAAAAAGAAACAATTTCTTGCATTACTACTTGATACTCTGGAAAATGTTAACACTAAAGTGTACTTTACCAGTAGCAGAGTAGGCTCTTTATTGGATTAGGAGTAGAGGAAGAAACCAGGTAGGCGATGAGACCATGAAAGGAAAAGAAGACGGACAGGAATGGATGTTACAGGGAAATATTTGAAGTGAAGACCAATTTTGCCTCCTTCTCAATTTGAGACATGAGAATTTCAGAACCTAAGTGACTGTACTCTTTAGGACATTTTGAAAATTGTACACTTTTCATCTCTATGTGAAATGTTAAATTTGCAGAAATAATTAAACTGTTAACAAAAAATAGATAAAGACCTTAAGAAAGATTACTTTACATTGGAAGAGCTAGAAGGGGAATAGATAGAGTTAATTATTTTAGAAGCATGAAGTGAGCATACTAGCACAATTGTGAAATTTCTTACAAGTGTGGAAAAACTATTAAATCTTGTGCAACTAGAATTAAGCATACTTCTTTTTAAGTAACTAGATACACAAATTTAGGGAGTGACTAAAGTGTCAAAGTATGGAAATTATTCAGTTTTAAAGCCTATGTTCTATAAATGAAGACATTTTTCATCTGAATTGAGTCATCTATCAGATGGCGATACTAACTACCTTAAAGTACAACTTTATAAAAAGGAACGTCATACCTTGACAAAGGAAGAAAGACAAGAATATTATTGGCACTTCAAACATGTAGTCAAGGAATTTCTAGAAATAAGAACAATTTATCTGATGTCATATCTGAAGGTAAACCTTAGATCCAGGAAAGTACTAAAAAGGAAAGAACTACTAGGGGGAAAATATAAACTTCTGTCAGCCTTGCCACTGCTGAAATACTACAAATGCCTCCAAGGACCATGAAAGTTGGCTACTATTTTAATAGCACTTAAGCCTAGTAATGTAAATTCTCCAAGCTACAACACAGGACAAATTTTGGTTACACACCCATCTTAGAGGTATTAAATGCATAAACATTTCCACCACCACCATACTACCACTCACTCACCCCTTGTATTATACTCTCCAAAAACAGAAACAATGATACTGATTAAGACAAAATGGAGTCCTCAAAGATACAATTAGGCAAACAAATTGTTTCATGTGGTGGAGCTTTTATCAAATTAGGTCAAGGGAATACAAATAATGCTAGACTAGTACAATATCTCTCTTCTTTCCCAAGTGATTGATGTGGTAATATAGGACTGGAAAATATTAGGCCAGGGTAAAAGCCAGGGTAAAGCTAATGTGGGCACCTTAAAAATTTCTGCTGTGAGACGATAACTCAGGTAAAAGGAGGAACAGAATGGGCACCTCAGGCTTCTCTTTAATGTAGGCATTGGACATGAAGGCCATGCACAGTTTGGCCCAGCTCACTGGAATATTCTTTCTGCATATGTATTTGAGAAATTCATTAAATATAAACTTGGGAGACTTTTATTTCTGGCTTTATGGTCAGAAACATGAAGACTCTCTCACTATAGGTACACCTAGAAATGTGGGAAACATAACAACATCCTTTTAAATGCATAGCTAAGCCTGAAAAAAAATAAGGGAAAGATTTCAGTTGCTGTAATAAGAGGATACATTATTCTAATCAACTCTTCTTGAATAACAAATTAAAATGGTAGACCAAATATTTGTTTTAAAGATCTCTTTAGAAGCAATGGCTAAATGATACAATAGCTAGGAATTATCAGGAAAAATTGAAGGGGGAGTGAAAATCCACAGAGGTAAGAAAAACAAAAAGTTCCTTTGGCTCTGAAAACATATGGCAATCTGGAAAATTTTAAACTTTGAAAGCTGAGTCCTCAAAGTATAGACTCTCAGCATAAAAGTAAACCAGAAGTAAACTATTTTTTTGTAATTTAAATATATATCACCTGTATAATCTAGAAACCATCAAGCTGTGAAATTAATTTAATATGGTAACAGACATGCAGTGACACCCATAAGTACCTGTGAATTCCTTCTGAATGAAGTTGCCTTTATTCTAGCTTTCAGATTATCCTCAAGAACAATGTTATTTGTTCAAGGACAACGAATGACACACAAAAATAATCAAGTATATAAGAAAGCCGGGTCCCAGGAGGGAAAAACAGCAGATCCTCAAAGAAGATGTCAGATAATAGAATTATCAGAAATACATTTTAAAGCAACTATGTTTAATCGGTTTAGAGAGCTAGAAGAGAGTATTAACAATTTTAAAGAAAACAAGAAACTATAAAAATGGTAGAGGAGATTTGATACAAGCATATTTGGTAGCACTTAGTAAACACAGTAAGAAAACCTAAAAAACACATAAATGGGGGCTTTTAAAAGGAAATTAGATATAACTGAAGAGAGAATTTGTAAACTGTAACATAGATCAGAATATATTATCCATGATGCAAACACAGAGAGATAAAAGATTGAATATAAGTAAGTGAGGTAAGAAGCAAAGAAAATAGAATTTTAAAATGTGGTTAATTATAGTCCCAGAAAGAGGAAAGAAACAAGACAAAGTGGAAGCAATATTTAAAGATATACTGATTATAATTTTCTAGTAATGATCAAAGACACCAAAGATTCAAGAAGCTTCATGAATTTTAAAAATAAAAGAAATTCACACCTAGAGACATAAGAAAACAGCCAAACACTAGAGAGAGAGAGAGAAACACTTAATGGCAATCTAAAAAATATAAATATCCAAATAAGTGGAAAGCAGATAAACATCTGGTATCTCAGTGGAACAATGGCAGTCAAAAGACAGTGGAATAATATATTCATTATTCTGAAAAAAAAATAAAATCTGCCAATTTACAATTCTGTATCAAGTGAAATATCTTTCAAGGATAAGATAAGATGAAAATATTATCAGACAAAAATAAACTGAAAGAGTCATCACAAGACAACCTTCACAAGGAAGAATTTGAAAGAATGTTCTCAAGGAAGAAAAAAGTAATCTTAGAAGAAAATGATAAAAATAGTGGTAAATATGTGGATAAATCTAAATGAATATTTACTGTATAAAACAATAAGTGATGTCTGTGGGATTCAATTTTTAAATAAATGTCATTTTTAGAGCAGTTTTAGGTTCATGAAATGAAATTGAGCAGAAGGTACAGAGATTTCCCATATGTTCCCTGGGTCCCCCACCCCAGACATACACATAGCCTCCCCTATTTTCAACATCCTTTGCTCAGGTGGTACATTTGTTACAACTGATGAACTCACATTGACATGTCATTATCACTCAAAACCCATAGTTTACATTGGGGTTTACCCTTGGAGCTCAATTTTTTGAATCTTGGAATTTAAGTTTTTAAGAAGGTATGAATTAAAATATATGACATCAATAACATAAGTTGAAAGCAGTTGAATGGAATTAAAGTGCTAGAAACCTACTGTATTGTCTGAGAGGTGACTAAAGAATTTCACTTACTTACAACTTTAATATTCAAACTGTGGATGTTGTCCTATATGGAGGAACACTAAAGGATAAGAAATACATTCCATGATTTCCAAACAATTATCAGGAAGAAACTTGAAATTTAAAAAAATGGTTGAAAAGTGAAAAAGAAAGAGAAAATGAAAAAGAACAATCAGGACTAATACAAAACATGAAGTAACATGGGAAATATAAATCTATATGTATCAGTGATGACATTAAATGTAAATGTATTCATACTCTAGTTCAGAGATAGTTTATAAGGTTGTGGGATAAAATCTAACTGTAAGCTTTAAAACAGGGCCATATGCAACCTAAGGCTAAGGAAAGATGAGAAGTAAAGAATAGAAAATTGTGTGCCATATAAATATTAATTTAAAAATCGCAGTTTATCAATTGTAAAATTTTCATGGAATCACAAAAGATCCAGGATAGCCAAAAAATTTGAAAATAAAAGACTCAAGCTGGAGGCATCATGCTACCAGACTTCAAAATATACTTCAGAACTACAATAATCAAAACAGCATGTACTGGCATAAAAACAGACACCTAGACCAATGGAACACAATAGAGAGCTCATAAATAAATCTGTGAATTTATGGTCAGTTGATTTTTGACAAAGGTGCACAATGACACCTTTGTGACAAAGAACACACAGTGTGGAAAGGACAGTCTTTTCAATAAATGTGTTGGGAAAGCTGTATACTTACATGCAGAGGAAGGAAATTAGACCCTTATCTCACATCATATACAAAAATCAACTCTAAATGGATTAAAGACTTAAACACATATCCTGAAGCAGTAAAATGACTAGAAGTAAGCATAGGGGAAATTTTTCTTAACATTAGTCTAGGCAGTGATTTTTTGGATATGATCACAAAAGCACAGGCAACAATAGCAAAAATAGACAAATGAGATTACATCAAACTGAAAAGATTTGGCACAACAAAGGAAGCAATAAAGAGAGTGAAGAGACAATATTTGCAAACCATATATCTGATAAGGGATTAATATCCAAAATATATAAGGAACTCAAACAACTCAATAACAAGAAAATAAACAGCCCAATTAAAAATGGGCAAATGATTTGAATAGACTTTTCTCAAAAAAACACATGCAAACAGCCAGTTACATGAAAAAATGCTCAATATTATTAATCATCAGGGAAATGCAAATTAAAACCAAAATGAAACATCACTTCACACCTGTTAGAATGGTTATTACCAAAAACACAAAACATAAATGTTGGAGAGGATGTGGAGAAAAAGGAATACTTGCACACTGTTGGGGGGAATTCCAATTAGTACAGCCATTATGGAAAACAGTATGGAAGTTCCTTAAAAAATTAAAAATAGAACTGCCCGCAATCCCCCTAGTAAAAGATATCTTGAAGAAATACTCCCATGTTCATTACAGCATTATTCACAATTAGCCAAGACACAGAATCAACGTAAGTGTCCATCCACAAATGAATGAATAATAAAATGTAATGTATTTTAAAGGAAAATAAATGTCGTAACCGCAAAATCAGTAAGCCAAACGGAAATGTCGAGCTGAGAACTGTGTCAGGCAAACCTGCCTCCCATTTTATTCCTAAATAAGATAGCTACAAAGATTTTTAAAAGCTACATAGTTCCCTCACAATTTGCCCACAAGCAAATTCCTTGTGGGCCTCAAGATCTTTACCCTAAAACAGTTCTGTTGAATTTCACCTTGGCAATGTAAAATGATAGCTTATCTTCACACGTGTAGGGCACAGGACGGACAGAACTCAGTTATCCCTCTGATTACCTGAGACAAATACATATCTGATTGCTTCCTGTGTCCTGTTGTTTACGTAAATATGCAGATTCACTGAGCCAGACTAAGGCGTAAGTAACTATTCCTCTACCCCCTTCTCACAAGTAAATTTTTTATTTCGTGAATGTGTGATCAAAGACTCAAAAGAATACAACTGTTTGTCTCCTATTTCCCTATGACCTGGAAGCTCCACCGTAACCCCACATCCCACTACTTCCCCATTTCAAGTTGTCCCGCCTTTCTGGACTGAACCAATGTACATCTCACACATTGATTGACGTTTCATGTTTCCCTAAAATGTATAAAACCAAGCTGTACCCTGACCGCCTTGGGCACAGGTCAGGATGTCCTGAGGCTGTGTCACGGGCACGTCCTTAACCTTGGGAAAATAAACTTTCTAAATTAATTAAGACCTGTCTCAGATTATTTTGGGTTCACTTATATGTACAAAATGGAGTATATTCAGACTTTGAAAAGGAGGAAATCCTGTCATTTGCAACAACATGGATAAACCTGAAGGACATTGTTAAGTGAAATAAGCCAGGTATAGCAAGACAAACACTGCATGATCTCACTTACATGTGGTATTTTAAAAATATGAACTAATAGAGAGTAGAATGGTGGTTACCAGGGTCTGGGGGCTGGGAGGTGTTGGCAAAGGATAAAAAATTTTGGTTATTCAGGAGGAATAAGTTTAAGATCTGTTGTACAACGTAGTGACTACAGTTAATAACAATGTACTGTATTCTCGAAAATGGCTCGGAGTGTATTTAAGTGTTCTCACCACAGAAAAATGGTAAGTATGTGAAGTTACGCATTTGTCAATTTGCTTGATTTAGCTATTCCATAATGTATATAAATTTTAAACAAACGTTATGAACTATAAATATATACAATTATATTTGTCAATTAAGATACATACATACATTCCATAAAGGAAATACACACAGAAATAGCAGTTAACTATTTCATTTATTATTTTTATCATCATTTGTAAAAATAATTTATTTATTTATAAAAAACTGGTATAACGATGTCACACAAGACAGACTTTAATGTAGGAAAGCACCAGTATTCATGAAACAAGTCACTTCAGGAGCCAATCATAATCCCAAAAAAACACAAGCTTGAATGCCATAATACAGAAAATATAATTCTTAAAAAAGTAATAAATTTTTAAAAGATATTTGTTTACATTTTTAAAAGGGGATTTTTTTGAGAAATGTATAAAGTCATGACAATACTTCATAGGCCACTTTACACAATAAAATAGGCAATAATTACATATAATTTTGCAAGCATAAAGACTTGGGTATACTAATGACAGTCACATGCATGTAATAGTTATGAGCAGATGAACCACATTCATAAAAAATAGCTCACAAAGGGAAATATAAAAATGCATATCACTATGTTGGTAATTGTGTGCACCCAGCTTTATAACTGCGATCATGTGAAATACTGTGAGAAACAATGTAAGTCTTGACAAGATTGATGAAAAACCATGATGAGTCACTGTCACATATGCCAAGGACTCAAGAAATTTTATCTTTTACAAATATAGATGTATAACAAAGACTTTTCTTCATTTGAGAAGGTTTCAACGTTTTAATGCACACACACAATGTTTACACATAAAGTCAATGTTGTGATAATTCATATTTGTGATGTCAAGTTTGCAAAAAAATGCAAAAAAAAAATTAGAATTCTCTAAAAGTCTTTACACAATCTATACCTCCAGTATTGGAAATAAGGGAAAATGAAATACATAGCATAGTGAATTGCTGTACTAGGTTTCTAGGTATTCCTCAATCCAGTCAAATTGACACCTAAAATTAAGTGCACAAATCCACACCTTGTCAACGTGGTACCCATACACATTTCCTTAAACCATACTTAATTTCGAAATAAAGACAATAGCAAGGTAATAGTTCCTTCTAACATGATGCACCTATTCTGCAGTTGTGATTTTGGGGGTTTTAGATGTTAGGGACTTATTTAGACTTTAGGGATTTTGACCTTTAGGAATTTTGATATTTTGCAATTTCAACATTTGGGATTATGTTTTTTCAGGATTATGTCTTTCAGGATTATAATCCAAACCCACCACTTAATGGTGATAAAGTTTCAATTCACCAGAAATAATGTGAAAAGAACATGTATGCATGCATCTAATAGCATAGCCTTCAAATTTATAAAGCAAATATTGACAGAAATGCAAGAGGAAACAGAAAGCCAATCCCATTAATTCATAAAATAAGCAGAAATAAATCAGTAAACATATAGAAGATTTGAATAAGGTGATCAATAAACTTGACAAAAGGTTTCCAACAAATAAAATTCAAAGCTAAAACAGCTACAGAATATATACTCTTGCACACATAACATATTTATTTATAAAATACCAGAGCTGTACCTTGAAGCTTATTCTAGCTAATGCAGAAATCTATAACTCGATGTGGAAGTATACCATAAAAATGTATATAAAATATATGGCTTTGGTTAAGAGGTTGCTATTGGATGGTAAGAAAACTGATACTAGAGCTTGGGAAGATAGTGATTTATGACATTATATGGCAAAGCATTTGTTAAAATAGTTTCTTGCAGTTACTTGGGAGGCAAATGATGTTATGTCCACAAAGTTCAAAAGACTGAAATTACAAGGGCATGTTCTTTGACAATACTTATTAAGATAGAGAGTAGGGGATGGGGAATGGAGAGGAGAGAGGTAGGAAGAGTGAGTAATAATGAATGTGGGTTGGTGGAAGAACAGATAAGTAATATCAGGAATTGAAAAAAGAATTATCACAATGTAACATGATGCACCTATTCTGCAATTGTGATTTTGGGGTTTTAGATGTTAGGAACTTATTTAGACTTGAGGGATTTTGATCATTGGCAATTTTGATATTTTGCAATTTCAACATTTGGGATTATGTTTTTTCGGGATTATGTCGAACACAATGTAATAACTATAACAGATATAAAAGGCCATCATTAATAATTTTATCCCAATAATTTTGAAAATGTAAAAGAAATGGACAATTTTCCTTGGGGTAAAATATTTCAAAATCTACTCAAAAACAAATAGAAAACCTGAGTGTATTACAACTATTAAGAAAATTGTATAAGCTGTCCCACTATTTTTTTCCAAAGAAAACCCCAAGCTTAATTACCTTAGATGATTTACACCAAATATTTAAAAATAATTTTATTGTTACACAAACTCTACAAGAGAATAAGAAAAAGAAGGAATATTACCCTACTCATTTTATGAGAATAGATTATTTATGTTACCAAAATCTATCAAGGATCATATAAGAAAAGATAAAGGCAGTATCACTCATGAACACAGATTGAAATTTCCTAAACAAAATATAAACAGAATGAAGCAATGTGTAGAAAGAACAATATATCATGACCAATGGAGCTTATTCCTGGATATTAAAATTTGTCTAGTTTTAAGAAACTGCATAATGTAATGACCGTTTAACAAATTGAGGGAAAATTCATAAAATTAAATTGGTAGATTCAAAAGTTTAATAAAATTAAATATTAATTTATTATTTAAAAGTTTGATAAAATTAAACATTAATTTATGACTAAAGTCATACAAAATTTTTAGTGAAGGAAAATGGGAGTAAATTTTCTTAATTTGATTCTGGGTATCTACCAAAAAAAAAGCTGCATAAGATTTTATATGTCATGATGAAACATTGAGAACATCTCCTTTGATATTAAGACACAAAGAAAGGATGATGAGTATCACAACTGCTATTCAACATTTTGCTGGAAGTTCTGTTATTTTTCACAAATAATACAATTATTTATGTAGAAAGTCAAAATAATTGACAGATAAATTTTGGAATTAATAAATGAGCTTAGTATGTTGCTGAATATAAAAACCAATGGTTATTTCTTATATCAACATCAAATCATTAAAAATTATATTAAAATGTCCATATCTATGTGTATATCTATATATTCAGGAATAAATCTAATGTGATATATGTGACTCTTCCACAGGAGTAACTTTTTATACTTTACTTAGGTACATTAAAGAAGACCTAAAAAAATTAGGAGATGTATCATGTTTAAGGATTTGAATTGATCTATTGATACAATGTAATTACAGTAACAAAATCCTATTTTTAGGAAACTTGAAAAGCTGATTCTAAAATTTACATGAAAACAAAAATGCCTAGGAACAGCCAAGATACTCTTGAAGAAAAAAAAATGAAGGAATTCGTGTACCAGTAATCAAGACTTGTGTTAGAGCTGTAGCAACTGACACAGTGTGGTAATGATGCTGGTATAGACACATAAACTGGCAGAACAGAAAACAGGACAGAAACAGTTTCATAGCTATGCGATCATCACATACATGGCAGAGATGACATTATGAATTAGTTAGGAATTGATGACTTTTCAATAAATGATCCTGAGATATGAAGTATCAATGTGAAAAAAAGCCAAACTCTACCTCACATAGTACTAAAAAAATCTAATTATAAAAGGGAAAAGTACAAAGTTTCTCAAAGACAATGTAAGGATATCTTCCTGATGTCAAGATAAGGAAGAGCTTCTCAAACAAGATGTGAAGCCTATAAGATTCAGCAGGAAAATGTATAGCTATAAAGGTGTACAGTGAAAAAGAAGATCTCCAATCAACACCCAACTTTGTACCTTCAGGCAAGAGGAAACACTAACTGAAAAGATTTAAAAAAAAATAGACAAACCTTTAGCTATATTGACTGAGATTGAGAGTGAGAGCAAGCAAGAGAGAGAGAGACTCAAATTATCAGACACAAATTACCATCAGAAAAGAAATCAGAAGTGAAAATCAGAAATGGGGGTGAGGACATTACTATTGATCTTAACCAAAAACGGATTACAAGAGACTACTATGGACATTTGTATGCCAACAAATTAGATGATTGGATGAAACAGACACATTCCCAAAAAACATAGAATCTACTAAAACTGACTTATGAAAAAAATAGAAAATCTAATTTAACCTAGAATTAGTAAGGACATTGAATCAGTAATCAAAAACCTCCCAAGAAAGCAAAGCCCAGGACCAGATGGTATCATTGGTGAAATTTATGAGATATTTAAAGAATTAGTATCAATTCTTCTCAAACACTTCCAAAAAGTTGAAGAGGAAGGAACACTTTCTAAGTCGTTTGATAAAACCAGACAAAGCCAGACGACGACTCTATAAGAAAATAAAACTACAGACCAATATTTCTTATAAATACTGATGCACAATGCTTCAACAAAATGCTAGCAAACTGAATTCAGCAGGTTATTAAAAAGACTATACACTATGACCAATGGGATTCATTCCTGGAATGCAATGACGGTCCACCATATGAAATTCAATGTAATGCACCACATTAATAAAATGAAATAAACAATTATGGTCATGTCAATTGATGGAAAAAAATTGACAAAATTCAGCACTCTTTCTTGATTAAAAACACCCAATTAACTAAAAATACAAGGAAATGCTCTGAAGACGATACAGGCCATATATGAGAAACCCACAGCTAATATTATACTCAAAGGTGAGAAACTAAAAACTTTTCTTACAAGAATAGAAACAGGGCAAGGATGGCAAGGATTCCTGCTTTTGCCATTTATATTCAATATAGTATTGAAAGTTCTAGCCAAAGAAATAGGCAAGAAAAAATATCCAAATTGGAAAGCCAGAAGTAAAGAGATTTCTATTTGAGGATGGCATATCTTTCTATTTCTTGAGACAAGAAAATTGTTTAACTTTTACTCCAAATTATGGTAAGAATTTGGAGGCATTTCCTAGAGAAGTGACATAATACATGCATGTTTTGCAGATAACATCTGTATGTAATCATTATGTGTAGGAAGCCCTAAAGATTCCAAACAAAAATGTTAGAGCTAATAAATGAATTTTGCAAAATTTCAGGATACAACATCAATGCACAATCTGTTGAATCTCTACGCACTAACACTAATCAATCCATAAGAAAAAATTTATTTAGAAATCTCATTTACAACAGTATACAAAAGAATAAAATACTTAGGAATAAATTTAAGCAAGGAGATAAAAGACTTTTGTGCACTGAAAATTACAAAACATTGTTGAAAGAAATTAAAGAAAATATAAATAAATGAAAAGACACGCCATGTTTATAAATTAGAAGCCAATATTAATATGACTGTATAACCCTAATTGCTCTACAGATTCAGTGCAATTTCTTTGAAAATTTCAACAGCATTTTTTGCAGAAATAAAAAAACTCACCCTAAAATTAACATGGATTCTCAAGGAACTCTAGCCAAAACCATCTTGAAATAGATGAACAAGATTAGATATTTCACACTTCCTGATTCTAAAATTCACAGGCTGAAAAGGTACAGTAATCAAATGGGTGCGTTACTGGTACTGTATGTTTTATTATTTTTTTTCTTTTGGTAGGTACATAGTAGGTGTGTATATTTGTGGGATACATAAGATGTTTTGATATAGCCATGCAATGTGTAATAAGCACATCATGGAGAATGCAGTATCCATCCCCTCAAGCATTTATCATTTGAGTTGCAGACAATCCAATTGCATTTTTATTTAGAAAAAACACAATTAAGAAATTATCGACTATAGTCAAGATGTTGTGCCATCAAATAGCAAGTCTTATTAATTCTAACTAAATTTTTTGTTAGAATTAACCATTCCCACCTTCCCCTTCCCTCCCACTACTCTTTCCAGCCTCTGGTAACGCTCTATGTCCATGAGTTCAATTGTTTTGATTTTTAGATCTCACAAATAAGTGAGAACATGTGATGCTTGCTTTTCTATGCCTGGCTAATTTCACTTAACATAATGATCACCAATTCCATCCATGTTGCTGCAAATGATTGGATATCATTCTTTTATATGGCTGAATAGTACTACATTGTGTATATGGTATATGAACCACATTTTCTTCATCCATTCAACTATTGAGGGACACAGGTTGTTCCTAAATCTTAGCTATAGTAAACAGTCCTGAAACAAACATTAAGAGTGCAGATATGTCTTTGATATACTGATAGTGTTTGTTTTGGGTATATTCCCAACAGTGGGCTGCTGGACTATATGGTAGCTAGGTTTCTAGTTTTTTGAGACACCTCCAAATTTTTCTCCATAGTCCTCGTAATAATTTACATTCCCGTCAACAGTGTACAAGGGTTCCCTTTTCTCCACATCTTTGTCAGCATGTGTAATTGCCTGTCTTTTTGATATAAGCCATTTTAACTGGGGTGAGATGATATCTCATTGTAGTTTCAATTTGCATTTCTCTGATCAATGACGTTGAGAACCTTTTCATAGGCCTGGTTGCCATTTGTATGTCTTTTTTTGGACAAGTACCTATTCAAATTTCTTGCCCATCTTTTGATCAAATTATCAGATTGTTTTTCCTATAGAGTTGTTTGAGCTCCTTATATATTCTGGTAACTGATCCCTTGTCAGATGGGTAGATTGAAAATATCTTCTCCCATTCTGTGTTTTTTCTCTTTACTTTATTGATTGTATCCTATGCTGTGTAGAAGCCTTAAAGCTTGATGCAATTTCATTATCTGAGGTGAAAGATAATAGATACATATTCTCCAAAAACACTGCAACTCTCACAGGTCTCATAGCAAATTCAGTCATTAAAAGTGAAGCCAGCAACCAGTTTCTGGATCCTGGAAGTGCATATAATAAATTTTCAGGGTAACTGATTTTCTCTTTCCCTGAGAGTTTATACCTAGCACTTGGATCATTAAGAATATACCAAACCTGATATTAGGTGTGCAAACACTTGCTGTCCACAGATTCTTCAGGTCTTAATGGACTAACCACTTGCCACATCCAAATGCAAATATTTTAGCCAAATAACTATTTGTGTGTGTGTGATTGATTCTCAACTTTCTAGCAAAGCAACTATTACTCCTGCATTACTTTGAGCTCTCCAGGTTCTTGAATCTTGAATTCTGGTCATATCGTCCTGGCCCTTGACCTTTCATTTCCACCTATAAACCAATGAAGTTTCAACCTCAGCAATAAGAGATGAGACCTCAGAGCTGGCATTTTGTTCTCTAACATTGCCATCAAGACAAATAAGTTCTAAAATTTCCCCTTTTTTATAATTAACAGCTTGCCAAACTAAAAACAAAATGTTTTTAGCCAAGATCAGTGACTCACACCTGTAATCCTAGCTACTTAGAAGGCTGAGGTGGGAGGATCACTTGAGCCCAGGTGTTCAAGGTTCCAGTGAGCTCTGATTACACCACTGCATTCCAGCCTTGGCAACAGAGCAAGATCCTGTCTCAACCAATTCTTTTTAATGATTTAGGCACCCAAATCTTCAAATACATTAAATATGCTGATATTTAAGCAGAAAATAAGTTTGAAAAATTTTCAAAGGTTTGCTTTTGCAAGCCCAAGAACCTGAATACCAAATCAGGCATTAGGAGTGCCAAATTTACAAACACTACTCCCCCTATAAAAAGCTCTCTTTTGTTCTGAGGTAGAAGGTCATGCCTATAGTTACATGCCCTACCATAGTGAGTATGGACTACATCCTCTAATACTAGAATCAGAAGCAGGGATAGAAAAGTACCAGCACATAATTCAGGAGGGAAACTCCAGTCATAATCAAATGTATAGAGATTAGGGGAAATAGGGAGATGTTGGTCAAATGGTAGAAACTCAGTTATAAGATGAATAAATGTTAGCGATATAATGTACTGCATAGTGGCTATAGTTAATAATACTGTATTGTTTACTTGAAATTTGATAAGAGTGGATTTTAGGTGTCCTCAGTACACATACATACACACACACACACACACAAATGATAACTATGGGTGATAATGGATATGTTAATTAATTAGAATGTGGTAATCAGCACACAATGTATGTTTATATCAAATCATCACATTGTATACCTTGAATATACACAGTTTTATTTGTCAAATAAATATTTTAATATAAAAATCAAATATATAGAGATATCAAACCTAGTACAGTTGGGTAAAGATAGCAGAGTATAAGATTGTCTGAAAGCTTAGTAGAACCAGATGTTTGTTTCCTAAATTTTGTTCTAAATTGAACTAAAATCTTTCCATCCTGGACTGAAAGCTACATGGGAACAGAGACCATATACATCTTTTTCACAACTAATTCCCCAGTACCTCATACAATGCTTACCATAGAGTAGCACCTTAATAAATGTTCATTGTGTAAATGAATCAATATTTCTCTGATGCTGAATAATTCATCAATCATTCTTCATTATTTAGAATTATGACAAAAATTCTAGCCCCCAAAATCTGATACATCCTACATTATTCTGATGCTCTAGTGGGGCTGAGACATTGACATTTCATTATGTCATCTGAGGCCAAGTTTCTACAAATTTTAAAATTGGAAAACTTTTATACCATTGGTGTATGGTGGGTTTTCAGAGTCCCAGAACGTGATAAGGGATCAGGGACATGTGCTGTTTTAATGACTCCTTCAGTGAGGTTTAAAACAATGTAATCCCAATATAGCAATGTGTATATGGATCTTAGGAGGAAGTTTGGGTTTGACCCCAGTTTTTCCATAAATTTACTGTAATCCCTTAAGCAAGCCAAATCAACACTGTATAACCTTGCTGATAAAATGAGAGAGTTGAACTAGAATATCTTTAAGTATCCTCTCAGTAAAAACAATGTATGAATCATTGAGGAAGTGGCATGTTTCAAGTACAAAAAAGGAACTTTAAATATTTCTGCTGAAAATCAGTGATGATGATAATAGTAATAAGTCATAACTAATATTTATATAGCACTTTCTATTAGCTAAATGTTTCATGTGGATTATTTAAGGGATATTTTACTAGTTTTCCTTTAAATATTTATATTTTGATACAGAATTATAGGTTTTAAAATAATACATATATTTTTTATTAACACATGCTCATTTTACAAAACTTACAAAAGAAAGAACACTAGAAAACAAAAATTTGTAAATTTTTGGTGTATACTTTTCAAGAATGTGTGTATACAAGTGTATTTGTATATAACCTAAGGGAAATCAGTATATTAAAGAGATATCTGTACCCTCTATGTTAATTGCAGCACTATTCACAATAGCCAAGATTTGAAATCAACCAAGGTGTCCAATAACAGATGAACAGATAAAGAAAGTTTGGTATGTATACAGAATGGAATATTATTCAGCCATAAAAAATGATATCTAGTCATTTGTGGCAAGACGGATGGGCCTGGAGAATGTTATGCTAAGTGAAATGAATCAGGAACAGAAAGGTAAATAGCACATGTTCTCATTTATATGTGGGAGCTAAAAAAGGTAAGCTCACAGACGTAGAGAGTAGAATAGTGGTTATTAGAGGGTAAGAAGGTAGGAGGGAGGAGATGATAGGGAGAGGTGTGTTAATATATACAAAATTACAGCTAGCTAGGAGAAATAAAATCTAATGTCCTATAGCACTGAATGGTGACTATAATTAACAATAGTTTATTGTATATTTCCAAATTGCTAGAAGAAATAATTTTGAATGTTCACAACACAAAAAATGATAAATGTTCAAGGTGATGAATATGCTAACTACCCTGATTTGATAATTACATATTGTATACATGTGTTGAAATACTACTCTGTATCTCATAAATCTGTACAGTTATGGTGTGTCAATTAAAAAGTAAAAAGTGGCTTTTAATGACTGCGTATTATTCAGTTATGTAGCCTACTACAATTTAAACAATCCCCTATTGTTGAGAATGCTAGTTGTCTTAAATTTTGTGATATTTTAATTCTTCAATGAATATCTTTATGCATAATGTCTGTTCAAACTTTTGATTATTTAGAAAAATAAATTATATTTTAATAGCTTGATCAAATGTTACACATATTTTTAAGGCTTAGAATACATATTTCCAAATTTCTCTTCAGAAAGATTTCACCAATTTACAATATCACCAGCAGAAGGCCTTTTCATCTCACTTTTTCGGATCTTGAATATTATTATTATAAATTGCTGAACCTGTAAGAGAAAAATGTCCCATTTTAACTTGCATTTCTTAGGTTACTGTAACTTTTTAAAAATTACTTCTTTTGTGAATTGCTTGTTCATGACCTTAGCTCATTTCTAAAAATTCCAATATTTATTTAATTGGCTTGTAAGAACTCTTCCTTATTTAATTGGCTTGTAAGAATTCTTCCTTATGGACATTAATTATTTGCCAATAATATATGTTGCAAATATTTTCCAGTCTATTATTTGCCTTTGTTTATGGTGTTATTGAATCTATTAATTGTTTCCCTCATTTTTTTTCTTTAACACTTAGAAATACCTTCACTGCTACAGACCAGATCATTATTTATTTATATTTTCCTTGATATTTTACAGTTTTCAATTTTAGACTTAGCTCTTACATTTACTTAAAGTTTATTTTGGCATATGATATGAGATGGTAATTAAAGTTCTTTGTTAAAGTCCAAATAGTTATCATAACACTATTTCTTGAATAACTTTGTCTGTCTTTTTCCCATACATGATTTAAACAACACTCCTTAAAAATCTACTGCGTTCAAGCCCAACCAGGGATATCTGCCTCCCCCACAAAGAAAACAAAATAAAACAAACAAAATCTATTTTGTGTTGGGCTTCTCAGAATGTTTTTTGTTTCATAGTTTTCTTTTGTTCTTATAATATGTGAAGTGTGTATTACATTCCTTTTTTACATAAGACAAACATGAGTCTCAAAGATGTCAGTTGAGTTGCCTAAAGTCAAATACTTACTAAGTGGCATAGCCCAGGCTGGAAACCAAGTTGTTTGACTCAAATTCAAATTATTTTTGCCTTATCACTACCAGAAAGGTCTAGATATTTCGAACAGGTATTTGGAGTAGGCCAAGTTGCAGATCATTTATAGGTTTATAGTGTAGACAGTTTCCACATTTTAATTTGATGATTTAAATAACTAAAATAACATTTAGTTCAAATTTACAGGACTCATTAAACATTTGTACACTAACAAGACTTATAGTGTACAATAAATCTTAACATAGCGCTCTCAATTTTAAAGGTATTTTGACTTTAGAATTTTTTTGTCAATTTTGCCCTGGTCAAGGAGTGATATTTTACTGTATCCATAATAAAATGATATGCCATCTACTGGCATGTTTTCCAATATCTCATATATACACATTTGAAAGTCCTTTGGTTTTGAGAAGATGATGCTAGAAAAAAGTGTTGTTTAGTTTTACGTTATGCAGTCTGATGCCACTGGAAATTACTCTCGGCCATTTTGTTCTTCTGGATTTTGATACCTAAAGCAGAGTTTATAAGAAATTGCGTCTTCAGCACACGTTTATTGCGGCACTATTCACAATAGCAAAGACTTGGAACCAGCCCAAATGTCTATCAATGATAGACTGGATTAAGAAAATGTGGCACATATACACCATGGAATACTATGCAGCCATAAAAAAGGATGAGTTCATGTCCTTTGTAGGGACATGGATGAAGCTGGAAACCATCATTCTCAGCAAACTATCGCAAGGACAAAAAACCAAACACTGCATGTTCTCACTCATAGGTGGGAATTGAACAATGAGAACACTTGGACACAGGAAGGGGTACATCACACACCGGGGCCTGTGGTAGGGTGGCGGGAAGGGGGAGGGATAGCATTAGGAGATATACCTAACGTAAATGACGAGTTAATGGGTGCAGCACACCAACATGGCACAGGTATACATATGTAACAAACCTGCACGTTGTGCACATGTACCCTAGAACTTAACGTATAATTAAAAAAACAAAAAAGAAATTGAGTCTTCAAACAAGATATTTTCATTCCAGTGAATAACACTTGTTATTTGCCTAAGATGCCTAGAACTGGGGTCTGAGAATCATATAGCTGTAATGATGTGTCTGGACTGGCTCAAAATAAGACTTATTGTAAGCGACATTGCAGAATAAAGGTCTGCAAAAGAAAATTCAACCTCCAATTCCCCCTTCTCCTCATAGCAGCATGATACCTTTTTTAATGCTTTCAATTATACATGAAGTCAACAGATCCAGACTTAATTCTTCACTTACTCTGTAAAAAACCCTGAGGTTTTTTCTCAGTTACTAACACATTCATTTACTAATTTTCTCCCCCTAATCACACTGGCAAAAGCCAAGGAAATGTGTTATAATACACCCACCACCAGCAGCATGTCTGTCAGCAATTTTATTTAATGTAACCTCTTTTTTTTTTTTTTTTTTTTTTTTTTTTTTTTTTTTTGAGATGGAGTCTTGCTCTGTCGTCCGGGCTGGAGTGCAGTGGCGCGATTTCGGCTCACTGCAAGCTCCGCCTCCTGGGTTCACGCCATTCTCCTGCCTCAGCCTCCCGAGTAGCTGGGACTACAGGCGCCTGCCGCCACGCCAGGCTAATTTTTTTGTATTTTTAGTAGAGACGGGGTTTCACCGTGTTAGCCAGGATGGTCTTGATCTCCTGACCTCGTGATCCGCCCGCCTCGGCCTCCCAAAGTGCTGGGATTACAGGTGTGAGCCACCGCGTCCGGCCAACGTAAGCTCTAACGGTTTACATTTCAATCCTGTGCACTTCTACAAATTTGTCTTAGAAGATTGATTCAGAAGTTAGAGGAAAGTCACTTTTAAGTAAAAGGTAAACTTACACATAACAACAGTTTGGAGTTAAGTGTCAATTCTGTGGTTCAGGTGAGATCAGTAAAAGGCAATGCAATACACTAGATCATAGAAATATCTACCATAAAAGATGTACATACCCACTTTTCATTACCTACGATATGCTTTTAAACTTTTAATCTAATATCTAGTTCATTATTGATAAATTAAATTTTAAAGCCACTAGATTTCTTTCTCTCAAGTAAGAAATTGTGGTCATTTTCTAGTTCAAATATTATTGATAAATACTTGTTACAGATGGTGGTGGTTGTTTCTTAGTATTCACGTGCCAAAAGGATATTAATTGTGGTATAAATATATATCCTTACTATTTCTTCTACCTCAATGATGAATACCCCTGATTGAGTCTAGAATAAGATAGCTGTCTATAGCTTTACAAATACTTTTCTTTTTAAAATATCAATTTTTTAGATGAAAAGTATAAAACTCTACAGATATTCTAGAAATAGCATACTTTATTTTGGCAGCAGAAAGACAAACATGTTGCCAAATAAAATTACCTCTACCCTCCTTTGGCCTCCTAAAAATATCCTAAAGAAACTGTCCAATGAGGGAAGTGTGTTTTTCCATTATTTCTGCTAATAATAGCCATAGGTGTTTTTTTCTTCTCTCATCACCTTGTGCTTTCTATTTTTATACACAGATATATATTCCCAAATGCTTTCTGAATGCCTGTTGGTATTGCGATCTTACATCAACTATTGAATATTTTCTTCACATTTATGTATCTTCCTGCATCCCCAACTCTGTTAATGACATTGCCATCTTCACAGGAATCCAGAGCCACTATGTAGTCTTTATTCTCTTCCCTACAGCTAAATACTTGTCAAGCACTTTTAGTCTTATCTTTGCAATCATCCTTATATGTGTCCCCTCCTATAAAAGTGTACTCACATAGTCCAGGCCCTCACTACTTCTCACCTGGACTATGACAATGCCCAAATGGTTTTCCATGCAGTTAATTTCTTTCCACTTCAATACAGTATTCACATTGCCTGCCGAAAAACAAAACAAAACAAAACAAAACAAAACAAAAATCTAAAAATGTGGCTCCACTTTTGTTACCCTAATACTCAAATTTGACTATCCCCTACAGCATAAAGCACTATCTTCTTACAGCAGTATTGAAGACCCTCCATAACTGGTTCCTAGCTGATATTGTTTGGCTGTGCCACACCCAAATCTCTTTTTGAATTGTGGTTCCAATAATCCCCACCTGTCAAGAGCCAAACCAGGTGGAGATAATTGAATCATGTAAGTGGTTTCCCCCATACTGTTCTCATGATAGTGAGTTAGTTCTCATGAGATCTGATGGTTTCGTAAGCGGTTTCCCCTTTCTCTCAGCACTCACCTTATCCTCCTGTCCTGTGAAGAAGGTGCCTGCTTCTCCTTCCCCTTCTGCCTTGATTGTAAGTTTCCTGAGGCCTCCCCAGCAATGAGGAACAGTGAGTCAATTAAACCTCTTTCCTTTATAAATCACCCAGTCTTGGGCAGTTCTTTATAGCAGCATGAGAACAGACTAATACAGTAAATTGGTACCACAGAGAGTGGGGTGCTGCTATAAGGATACCTGAAAATGTAAAAGCAAATTTGGAACTGGGTAACAGGCAGAGGTTGGAACAGTTTGGAGGGCCCAGAAGAAGACAGGAAAATATGGGAAAGTTTGGAACTTTCTAGAAAATTGAAGGGCTCAGAAGACAGGAAGATGTGGGAAGGGTAAGAACTTCCTAGAGACTTGTTGAATGGCTTTGACCAAAATGCTGATAGTGATATGGACAATGAAGTCCAGGCCAAGGTGGTCCCAGATGAAGATGAAGAACTTGTTGGAAACTGGAGTAAAGGTCACTCTTGCTAGCAGAGACTGGTGGCATTTTGCCCTTGTCCTAGAGATCTGTGGAACTTTCAACTTGGGAGAGATAATTTCGGGTACTGGTGGAAAAAATTTCTAAATGCCAAAGCATTCAAGGGGAAGCAGAGCATAAAAGTCTGGAAAATTTACAGCCTGATGATGCAGTGGAAAAGAAAAACCCATCTTCTGGGGAGAAATTCAAGCCTGCTGCAGACATTTGCATTTGCATAAGTAATGAGTAGCCAGTGCTAATGACTTAGACAATGGGGAAAATGTCTCCAGGGCATGTCAGAGGCCTTTGCAACAGCCCCTCTCAACACAGGCCTGGAGGCCTAGGAGGTAAAAATGATTTCCTGGCCAGGGACCCCTGCTGTGTGCAGCCTGAGGGCTTGGTGCCCTGCATCCCAGCTGCTTTCAGCTTCAGCCATGGCTAAAGGGGCCAAGGTACAGCTCAGGCCATGGCAGAGGGTGTAAGCCCCAAGCCTTAGCAGCTTCCAACTGGTGTTGAGCCTGCAGGTTCACAGAAGTCAAGAATTGAGGTTCAGGAACCTCTGACTAGATTTCAAAGGATGTATGGAAATACTTGAATGTCCAGGCAGAAGTTTGCCACAGAGGCGGAGCCCTCATGGAGAACCTCTGCTAGGGCAGTGCAGAAAGAAAATGTGGGGTCAGAGCCCCCACACAGAGTTCCCACTGGGACACTGCCAGTGAAGCTGTGAGAAAAGCGCCAATGTTCTCCAAACCCCAGGATGGTAGATCCACCAACAGCTTGCACCCTGCACCTTGAAAAGCTACAGACACTCAATGCCAGCCCAAGAAAGGAGCCAGGAGGGGGACTGTACCCTGCAAGGCCACAGAGGCAGAGCCCTCATGGAGAACCTCTGCTAGGGCAGTGCAGAAAGAAAATGTGGGGTCAGAGCCCCCACACAGAGTTCCCACTGGGACACTGCCAGTGAAGCTGTGAGAAAAGCGCCAATGTTCTTCAGACCCCAGGATGGTAGATCCACCAACAGTTTGCACCCTGCACCTTGAAAAGCTACAGACACTCAATGCCAGCCCAAGAAAGGAGCCAGGAGGGGGACTGTACCCTGCAAGGCCACAGGAGTGGAGCTGCCCAAGACCCTGGGAGCCCACCTCTTGCATCAGTGTGATCTGGATGTGAGACATGGAGTCAAAAGAGTTCATTTTGGAACTTTAAGGTTTAATGACTCCCCTGTTGGATTTTGGACTTACATGGGGCCTATAGCCCCTTTTCTTGGCCAAGTTCTCCCATTTGGAGCAGGTGTATTTACCCAATGTCTGCATCCCCATTGTATCTAGCAAGTAACTAACATGCTTTTGATTTTACAGATTTGCCTTGTCTCAGATGAGGCTTTGGACTTGGAATTTTTGGCTAATACTGGAGTGAGCTAAGACTAAGGCATGATTGTATTTTGAAATGTGAAGACATGAGATTTTGGAGGGGCCAGAAGCAGAATGATATGATTTAGCTGTGTCTCCACCCAAATCTCATCATGAATTGTAGTTCCAATAATTCCCATAGGTTAAGGGCAGGAACAGGTGGAGGTAATCGAATTATGGGGGTGGTTTCCCCTGTACTGTTCTTGTGATAGTGAGTTAGTTCTCACAAGATCTGATGGTTTTATAAGGGGCTTCACTCTTCACTCAGCACTCTCTTTATCTTCCCCCTCTGTCTAAAAGGTGCCTGCTTCTCCTTTTCCTTCCACCATGATTGTAAGCTTCCTGAGGCCTCTCCAGCAACGTGGAACTGTAAGTCAATTAAACCTATTTCCGTTATAAATTACTCAGTCTTGGACAGTATTTTGTAGTAGCAGGAAGAGAACGGACTAATACACTAGCATATCTTCAGTTTCTCCTGGCTATATTATACTTTCTGATCTCTCACACATCTTACAGTCAAGTGATATTCACACGCCACACCAAAATTCAGTAATACTAAACCCTTTGTGAAATCTTACCCAAACCCTTCACTAGAGCTAAGTTCCTTCTTATTGTTTCTCTCGTATTAGGCTCTCATAGCACTTTGTACCTTTAATAATGTGCTTGGTAATTTAAGAAGTTCCTTTTGCAGTCACCACAGTGAACTGTGTTATAGTGTATGGTCTGTCAAATCCTACTTGAGGCTTTGATATTTGAGACGGTCTAAGGGACACACTAAAGATTCAGTCCTTTAGGATTTTTTATTGTAATTTAGAGCACCAGAAAGCTACCTATCCAGACCAAAGTAGTTAATTTCCTCAAAGATGTCCTTATAGAGCTACATTTGAGTATTTTGTTATGGGGTCTATATAAGAAAGTCATATGAAGAATGTTTTTGTATTCTCAGCGATTGCACTTGCAGTCTGATTTCTATTGTGATAGTTTGTATGTATACATTCTTTCTCACTAGCTTATAAACTCCTACTGTACAGTGACTATATATTGTTCATCACGTACCACATTGCTCTTCATATAGAAATGTGTAATATATTTTTCTTTTTGATTTATTAAATAAAAATTTAGTTTATAAAATAGCTCATTTGAAAATTATTATCCTCTAATTATATCAGATGAGGTTTGTCACATTTGCATATGCATATATTCACATTCAACTTTCAAGGGACCCATCTACTCACTAAAGAAATACCCATACAAAATACAGGATAAATTGGAATGATCACTGGATTGCTCATTGCTTTAGATTGCCCAGTCATCCATTTCCTTCCATTAACCCAGTTTATATAAAATGAAGGATTTGGAGCCCTCATCAGTTGCATCTAAAATATCTGTCCATCCACAGGAGGACTCATATTCTATTTCTCAAGAATAATTAATGAATATTTCCCAAATATAATCCTTTATTTCTATATTCTATAATTTTTTCAAGTCAGTAATCTTCTTATCTGTGCTAGAATAATGTACATTTTGGGGGTTTGGGGTTGTTCTTTTCATATCATTGACAACCCTATAACACAGACTATTGACATATAACATGGGAAAGATGTTGCATATTCATAGTCTGGCACATTTACAGGTAGTATTATACTAGTTTTTAATCAAAGTTTGAAGCAATGATAATCTAAGCCTGCCTAAATCTTATACACATAAATACACACCCACCATACAATAAGAATGCTAGTTCTCTAAAATGTATATATTATTAAAACACCCCATGCTTACTGTTTTCATAAAATTATACTGGTGAAAAACAGTTAACAACAGTAAAAGTAGAAAATTTATAAGAAACAGAAAAGTGCAAAGACGACAGAAATATAAAATAAGACTTTGATTTAAAATAGAAGTCAAAATTAGTCTTTAAAATAAAACTTGAGGGGAACATCACACACCGGGGCTTGTCAGGGGGTGGGAGGCAAGGGGAAGGATAACATTAGGAGAAATACCTAGTGTAGGTAATGGGTTGATGTGTGCAGCAAACCACCATGGCACGTGTATACCTATGTAACAAAACTGCACGTTCTACACATGTACCCTAGAACTTAAAGCATAATAAAAAATAATAATAAATAATATAAAACTTGCAACTTGGTAGTTCAATTTAATATTTTTAATGTGCACTCCTTTTAATTGAAATAGTTCTATTATTGGAATTTGGTCTCTATCACAATCAATCAAACAGTTACATGGCTGCAAGTAAGGTCTTAAAATTTATAATTAATATCACACTTCATAATATAATGTAACAATGAATCACTTATATGAGGGTTAATTTTATGATATATTCTGCAAAATACTATTTTCTATTTTTGCATCATGAATTAGTGATGCTTTATAGCAGGCCTCATGTGAAGAAGCATTTTGTGTCAACTATGAGAAAAAATATTTTAGTTTAAGTATGTGTGGTATAAGTCAATATCATTTTTCAGGTATGGAATTGGAAAGCAAAGAACAGTGGCACAATCAGGGTCTTAAAATTATTTCTCATTTTCTGCATTTCTCTTCCTAAGTCTGAAAAATCACATTTTTATTTGAAGCCTTAACTTAGTAGCCTTTCCTGATATTCTGCGGCTCACATTGATTCCTCCCTTTCCTGGACTTCTGCTGCATTGAGAACCAGCACCACACAATTTTGCACCTAATTGCTATAATTGTTTCATGAGTCAGTCCTCTGAAATAGATTGTAAGCTCCAAACTGCAGAAATTATGTCTTACATTTCTTTTGCCTGGCACACAATTGGATAATTGTTGATTAATAAATACAGCCAGCAGCTTTCTCCCTTTTGAATGTTTCCACTCCTCTCATTTGGGGCTCTCAAAAAATATCAGCCCCTTACAATAATTTTTTTCCTATGAATTCAACAATATCTTGTAGTGTTGTTAGAAACAGGGTTAGTTAGCTGCTACAAAATATAAAATTGCACTGCATATACAGTCTAAATTTTTACATAATGTTTTAGTATACATCTTCAGAAATACTTTCTGTCTAAAAGTGGGGATATTCTGTATTGAAAATTTATTCAGCATGTATCTAATTAAAAATTGCACTTACTGAGAAGCTACGATGAATTAAGCATTGTTTAAGGAATAAAAATTGATGTGAAAGGACTCTGATCAATAAGGAAGAGAGCTTATTCCCAATGCTGCAGTAGCTGCTTTACATAATATGATTTAATTCTTACCCACACTATAAGGAATTTATCATTATTCCCATTTTACAGGTGAGAAATCTGCAGTTCAGAGAGGTTAAGTAATTTGCCCAAGGTTATAACATCCAAATGGAAGAAACAAGATTTGAATCCATGTCTGTCTAACTTCAAAGCCTGAGCTTACTGTTCTTTAAGAGATACAGCCACATGAAGAAGTTCTTATAATGTAATGTGATAAATGATATAATAACATATGTGTACCAAATACTACAGGATCATGGGAAGGTTAGGGGAACACAGAGAAAATAGTGGCTAATATTGCCTGAGAAGAAATGAGGCAATATTCTCAAGAGTCAAATAACCCATTTGTAATGTCTCAGAGTACCATGCTAGTTTCTATTTTTCAATTTTTTTATTTTTATTTATTGTGGGTATATAGTAGGTATATGTATTTATGGGGTACTTAACATGTTTTGATACAGACATGCAATATAAAATAAGTACATAATGAAGAATGGGGTATCCATCCCCTCAAGCATATATCCACTGAATTGTGAATAATCCAATTAGACAATTTATTTTAAAATGTACAGTTATTATTTACTATAGTCACCATGTTGTGCCATCAAGTAGTAGGTCTTATTCATTCTTTCTATTTGTTGTATCCATTTATCATCCCTACCTTACCCCAAGCCTCCGACTACCTTTCCAAGCCCATGGTAATCTTTCTTCTACCCTCTACCTCTATTAGTTCAATTGTTTTGATTTTTAGATCTCACAAAAAAATGAGAACATGTGATGTTTGCCCTTGTGTGCCAGGATTATTTTACTTAACATGATTTCCAGTTCCATCCACGTCGTTGAAAATGACTATATCTCATTTTTTGAGGGCTGAATGGTACTACATTGTGTATATGTACCACATTTTCCTTATCCGTTATTCTGTTGATGCACACTTAGTTTGCTTCCAAATTTTAGCTATTGTAAACACTGCTGCAAAATACATAACAGTGCAGATATCTCTTCCATATATTGATAGTCTTTCTTTTGGGTATATACCCATCAGAGGTATTGCTAAAACATTTGAAAGGGCCAGGAGCGGTGGGTCACGCCTGTAATCCCAGCACTTTGGGAGGCCGAGGTGGGCGGATCACGAGGTCAGGAGATCGAGACCATCCTGGCTAACACGGTGAAACCCCGTCTCTACTAAAAATACAAAAAATTAGCCGGGCGAGGTGGCGGGCGCCTGTAGTCCCAGCTACTCGGGAGGCTGAGGCAGGAGAATAGTGTGAACCCTGGGGGGCGGAGCCTGCAGTGTGCCGAGATTGCACCATTGCACTCCAGCCTGGGCGACAGCAAGACTCCGTCTCAAAAAAAAAAAAAAAAAAAATTGGAAGCTCTATTTTTAGTTTTTTTGAGGCAGATCCAAACCGTTCCCCATAGTGCTTGTACTAATTTACATTCCCACCAACAGTGTAAAAGGGTTTCCTTTTCTCCACATCTTTGCCAGAGTTTGTTATTGTCTGAAATTTGGATACAAGCCATTTTAACTGGGGCGAGATGATATTTCACTGTTGTTTTGATTTGCATTTCTCTGATGATCAATGATTTTGAGCACCTTTTCATATGCCTGTTCACCATTTGTATGTCTTCTTTTGAGATATATTTATTTAAATCTTTTGCCCATCTATTGATTGGATTATTAGATTTGTTTCTATAGAGTTGTTTGAGCTCCTAATATATCCTGGTGATTAATCTCTTGTCAGATGGATAGATTGCAAATATTTTCTCCCATTCTGTGTGTTGTTTCTTCACATTGTTGATTGTATCCTTTGCTGAGCAGACTTTTTAACTTGCTGTGGTCTTATTTGTCCATTTTTGCTTTGATTGACTGAGCTTGTGGGATATTGCTCAAGAAATTTCTGCCCAGACCATGTCCTAAAGATATTTCCCAATGTTTTCTTGTAGTAGTTTCATGATTTGAGGTTCTAGATTTAATGCGTTAATTTATTTTGAGTTGATTTTTGTGTATGGTGAGAGACAAGGGCCTACTTTTATTTTTCTGCTTATGGATATATAGTTTTCCCAGCACCATTTATTGAAGAGACTCTCTTTTCCCCAGTGTATGTTTTTGGCACCTTTATGGAAATGAGTTTGCTGTAGATGTGTGAATTCGTTTCTGGGTTCTGTATTCTGATCCATTGGTCTATGTGTCTGTTTTTATGACAGTACCATGCTGTTTCAGTTACTATAGCTCTGTAGTAGAGTTTTAAGTCAGCTAATGTAATTCCTCCAGTTTTGTTCTTTTTCTTAAGATAGTTTTAGCTATTCTGGGTATTTTGTGGTTTCATATAAATTTTGGGATAGCTTTTTATATTTTTGTGAAGAATGTCATTGGTGTTTTAAGAAGGATTGAATTGAATCTTCAGACTGCTTTGTGTAGTATAAACATTTTAACAATATTGATTCTTTCTTTTTTTTCTTTTTTTTATTTTATTATTATTACACTTTAAGTTTTAGGGTACATGTGTACAATGTGCAGGTTAGTTACATATGTATACATGTGCCATACTGGTGTGCTGCACCCATTAACTCATCATTTAGCATTAGGTATATCTCCTAAAGCTATCCCTCCCCACCCACCACCCCACAACAGACAAATTTCAAAGAAATTTACAAGAAAAAAACAAACAACCCCATCAAAAAGTGGGCAAAGGATATGAACAGACACTTCAAAAAAGAAGACATTTATGCAGCCAAAAAACACATGAAAAAATGCTCACCATCACTGGCATCAGAAAAATGCAAATCAAAACCACAATGAGATACCATCTCACACCAGTTAGAATGGCAATCATTAAAAAGTCAGGAAACAAAAGGTGCTGGAGAGGATGTGGAGAAATAGGAACACTTTTACACTGTTGGTGGGACTCTAAACTAGTTCAACCATTGTGGAAGTCAGTGTGGCGATTCCTCAGGGATCTAGAACTAGAAATACCATTTGACCCAGCCATCTCATTACTGGGTATATACCCAAAGGACTATAAATCATGCTGCTATAAAGACATATGCACACGTATGTTTATTGTGGCACTATTCACAATAGCAAAGACTTGGAACCAACCCAAATGTCCAACAATGACAGACTGGATTAAGAAAATGTGGCACATATACACCATGGAATACTCTGCAGCCATAAAAAATGATGAGTTCATGACCTTTGTAGGGACATGGATGAAATTGGAAATCATCATTCTCAGTAAACTATTGCAAGAACAAAAAACCAAACACTGCATATTCTCACTCATAGAGGGGAACTGAACAATGAGAACACATGGACACAGGAAGGGGAACATCACACTCTGGGGAATATTGATTCTTTCAATCCATGAACATGGAAAAGTGTTCCATTTTTTGGTATCCTCTCCAATTTCTTTCATCTGTGTTCTATAGTTTTTATTATAGAGATGTTTCACTTCTTTGGTTAAGTTAATTCCTAGGTATTTAATTTTATCTGTGGCTATTTTAAATGGGATTCCTTTTTTATTTCTTTTTCACATTGTTCACTGTTGGCTTATAGAAATGCTACTTATTTTTGGATGTAGATTTTGTATCCTGCAAGTTTATTAATTTGTTTATCAGTTCCCATGGTTTTTTTGTTGAGTCCTTAGATTTTTCCAGATACAAAATTATGTCATCTGCAAACAAAGATAATTTTACATCTTCCTTTTCAATTTGGATGCCTTTGTATTTCTTTTGTCTGATTTCTCCAGCTAGGACTTTCAGTATTATGTTGAATAACAGTGCTAACAGTGGGCATCTTTGTCATGTTCCAAATTGTAAAGGAAAGGCTTTCAGATTTTGCCATTCAGTATGATACTAGCTGTGGGCCTGTCATATATGGCTTTTATTATTTTGAAGTATGTTCCTTCTATTCCCAGTTTGTTAAAGCTATTTTATTAAACGCCTTTTCAGCATCAATTGAAATGATCATATAGTTTTTATCCTTCATTCTGTTAATATGATGTGTTTGATTGATTGATTGTGTATGTTGAATCATCCTTGAATATCAGTGATATATCTCACTAGGTCATGATGTATAATCCTTCTATGTATTGTTGAATTGTGATTACTAGTATTTTGTTGCACGTTTTTTCATCAATTTTCATCAGAGACTTTGGCTTGTTGTTTTCTTTTTCTTTTATGCACTACTTGCATAAACAAACACACAAGTAAAAATAAAACTAATAAAAACTTACCTTAACTTTGTCCCCCACTTTTTAACTTTTTATTGTTTCTATTTATATTTAACTGTACTGACTCTGTCTTGGAAAGTTATTGTAGTTATTATTTTTCATTGGTTCATCATTTAGTCTTTCTACTTAGGATAAGAGTAGTTTAATCACCACAGTAAAAGTGTTATAATATTCTGTGTTTTTCTGTGTACTTACTATTATCAGTACGTTTTGTACCTTCAGATAATTGTTATTATTATTATTATTATTATTATTATTATTATTATTATTATTTGAGATGGAGTCTTGCTCTGTTGCCAGGCTGGAGTGCAGTGGAGCGATCTTAGCTCACTGCAACCTCCGCCTCCTGGGTTCAAGCAATTCCCCTGCCTCAGCCTCCCAAGTAGCTGGGACTACAGGTGTGTGCCACCACTCCCAGTGCGTGCCACCACTCCCAGCTAATTTTTTTGTATTTTAGTAGGACGAGATTTCACCATGTTGGCCAGGATGGTCTCGATCTCCTGACCTCGTGATCCACCCACGTCGGCCTCCCAAAGTGCTGGAATTGCAGGCATGAGCCACTGTGCCTGGCCCCTTCAGATAATTATTTATTGTTCATTAATGTCATTTTCTTTCTGATTGAAGTACTCCTTTCAGCATTTCTCCTAGGATGTGTCTGGTATTGATGAAATTTCTCAACATTTGTTTGTCTGGGAAAGTCTTTATTTATCCTTTGTGTTTAAAGTGTATTTTCACTGAATATACTATTCTAGAGTAATTTTTTTTTCCTTTAGTACTTTAAATATGTCATGCCACTCTCTCCTGGCCTGTAAGGTTTCCACTGAAGAGTCTGCTGCCAGATATATTGGAGCTGCATTACATGTTATTCGTTTATTTTCTTTTGCTTCTTTTGCTGCTTTTAGGATCCTTTCTTTAACCTTGACCTTTGGGAGTTTGATTACTACATGTTTTGTGGCAGTTTTCTTTGGTTTAAATCTCCTTGGTGTTCTATACCCTTCTTGTACTTTGTATATTAGTCCGTTCTCACACTGCTATAAAGAAATACCCAAGACTGGGTAATTTATAAAGGAAAGAGGTTTAACTGACTCACTGTGTTGCAAGGTTGGGGAGGCCTCAGGAAACTTATAATCATGGCAGAAGGAGAAGCAGGCACCTTCTTCACAAGGTGGCAGGAGAGAATATGAGCATGTGAAGGGGAAACTGTCAAACACTTATAAAACCATCAGATCTTGTGAGAACTCAATCACTATCACAAGAACAGCATGGGGAAAACTGGCTCTCTGATCCAATTACCTCCCACTGGGCATCTCTCGACACGTGGGGATTATGTGGAATACAATTCAACATGAGATTTGAGTGGGGACACAGCCAAACCATGTCACTTAGTTATTGATATCTTTTTTTTTTTTTTTTTAAGACGGAGTCTTGCTCTGTCGCCAGGCTGGAGTGCAGTGGCATGATCTCGACTCACTGCAATCTCTGTTTCCTGGGTTCAAGCGATTCTCCTGCCTCAGTTTCCCGAGCATCTGGGACTAGAATCGCATGCCACCATGCATGGCTAATTTTTGCATTTTTAGTAGAGACGGGGTTTCACCATGTTGGCCAGGATGGTCTTGATCTCTTGACCTCGTGATCCACCCACCTCGGCCTCCCAAAGTGCTGGGATTACAGGCGTGAGCCACCGTGCCTGGCCAGATATTGATATCTTTCTCTGGGTTTGGGAAGTTCTCTGTTATTATCTCTTTGAATAAACTTTTTACCCCTGTCTCTTTCTCTACTTCCTCTTTAAGGCCAGTGACTCTTAGATTTTCCCTTTTGAGGCTATTTTCTAGATCCTGTAGATGTGGTTCATTGTTTTTTATTATTTGCTTATTTTTCCTCCTCTGTGTATTTTCAGATTGCCTGTCTTCAAGTTCACTAATTCTTCTGCTTGATCAATTCTACTATTAAAGGACTCACTCTGATCCATTTTTCAGTATACCAGTTGCATTTTTCAGCTTCAGAATAACTGCTTGATTATTTTTAATTATTTCAATTTCTTTGTTAAATTTATCTGATAGAATTCTGAATTCCTTCTTGGTGTTACCTTGAATTTCTGTGAGTTTCCTCAATACAGCTATTTTGAATTATCACTGTGGTTCTTGCAGACTTGTAGAGGTACCACCTTGAAGCTCTTGGTTAAGATCTGGGGGAATTCTCTGGATTATCAGAGGCTCATTATTTTCCCTTACTTTCTCCTAAACACAGAGTCTCTGTCTCTGTTATGAGCCACCTAAAGCTGGGAGTGGAAAACACAAGCATCCCTGTGGCCACCACCACTCTGACTGCACTGGGTCATACTTGAAGCCAGCACAGCACAGGGTCTTTCCCAAGGCCTACTGTAACCACTCCCTGGCTACTGCCAATGGCTGTTCAAGGCCTCAGTCCTCTATAATCAGCAGATGGCAAAGCCAGCTAGGTCTGTGTCCTTCCTTTCAGGGTGGTGAGGTCCCCAGGCCCCAGGTGGGTCCAGAGGTGGTTTTGGGAAGTGAGGGACTACAGTCAAAAACCTTAAAAGCCTACATAGTATTCTATTGTATTGAAGCTGAGCTAACACTCAAGCCATAAGATACAGTCCTTCCCACTCTTCCCTCCCCTTTCCAAAGGCAGAGGAGCCTCATCCTGTAGTGACCACCACCCTTGGCCATGAGCAGTACTGCCAGACTACTGACAATGTTCCCTTAATATCCAAGGGCTCCTAAGTCAGCTTGTGGTGAATGCTACCTGGTCTGGAATGCACTGTTCAGGGTAGTGGGCTCCCCTCTGGCTCAGAGCAGGTCCCAAAATGCCTTTCAAGAGTCTAGTCCTGGAATTGGGTGCCCCAAGTGCCTGCTTGGTGCTCTACCCTTCTGTGGCAGTGTTCATACCTAAGGTACAAGACAAAGCTCCCTTTACTTTTCCCTCTGGTTTTCTGAAGCAGTTTTGTCTCGTAGCCACCACAGCTGGTAATGTACTGAGTCTCACTTAAAGCCAGCAAGCCTCAGACACTCACCAAAGCCCTCGGTGTAGTACCTAGTTATTGCTGCTGGCTATTCAGGGCCCAAGGGCTCTTCAGTTAGCAGGCAGATGATGAATGCTGGCAGGACTGGGTTATTTCCTTCAAGGCTGCTGCTTCCCTTCTGGCCCAAGGTGTCTAGGAATGTCATCTGGGAGCTAGGGTCTGGAAAATGGACCTCATGACCCTGACCACTGCCCTATCTTGCTGTGGCTGAGCTGGTATCCAAAATGCAAAACAAAGTCTTCCCCACTCTTCCTCACCTCTCCTCAAGCAGAAGGAAGGGGCTTTTTTTGGAGCCTCAAGCTGTATGGTCTAGGCTTAGGGGAGGGGTGATGCCAGCATTCGCTTGGCTGTCCCAGCTGCTGTCTCTGTATGTTTCATGTTCTCCAAGTCTACTGTCTCTGGGACTTTTTCAACCACAGGACTCACCTATGAGTTGCAGTTCTTATGGCCTAGATACCTTTTTAAGTTTACTTTCAGACGGAAACAACTTTGGCCCTTGGTGGAAAGTTTTGAGAGCACTCAAGTTTCAGACAGCTAGGAATGATTCTTCTCTGGCTTGGGGTGGTTTAAATGGTCTCCCTGTGGCTGTGCATCAGCTGAGTTTGGTCTGGTTTTCCTGTGTGCTCTAACAGGACAGCATTGAGTTCAATGCCTCACAATTGCTGTCTTCTCACTCCCTCAGTGTCCAGAGAGGCTCTCAGCACCATTCTGATGCTACAGGGGCTGGCAGAGGTGTGGCATCAGCAATTTAAGATTGTTTTCTTTATCTCTTCTGTGCCTCTTTCAGGGATATGAAGTTAAAACAAAGTACTATGAGTGTTCACCTGGTTTTTTTGACTCTTACGAAGTTTTTTTCCATGTAGATAGTTGTTAACTTGGTGTCCTTGCAGCAGGGGACAATCAGCGGAGCTTTCCATTTCACCATCTTGCTCCACCTCCTTCCTCTGGCCATGTTAAGTTTGTATATCAATTTGATAGCAAGTGGAAATGTCAAGTGGACAATTGGGTACAGCAGTTTGACGACAAGAGGAGAGATACCGGCTGGGTATATTAATCTGGTAGTCATCAAAGTATAAATGATGTTTAAAACCATAAGACTATATGAGATTACCCAGAAAGAGTATAGGTGGAAGAAGTTTATCAGATATTATTTTATTCTAACACTACAGCTGTTACTGCCCTACTTTTCACAAGATCTCCATACTCCTTGATTCTGGCTCATCTGCTTCATAATTCCACTGACTGACATCTTGACACCAAATTTTTCCCCAACTTTGCCTACTGAGCTCAGATAACTACTGCGAATTCTGTCTCAGTAAGACTTACCTAGTGAAGCACTGAGTTGTGGGCTGATTCTTTCTACCAATTGCCATTGATTTCTCCACTCTGAGATACCTCTTTTGAATTTAGAGACAGCTGCATATGTTCTACAATGGAATTTCCAATTCACACAGCAAAAACAAAAGTACTATAGCAGTAGACATTCAATAACCATTTATCGAATGAAATATAAATACACAAAATAGAAGGCTATAGAAATAGGCAGTCATATGTTTCACTCTCTTGATATCTGGACTTGTCTAGGATCGACAGCATTATTTTAATGATCAGGGCTTGATAATTACCAGGAATTTTAGAACATATTAAAAAATTATCCCAATGCTTTATCATCTATGAACGCATTCTCATTTGGTTCATATAATATAAATTAAATGTTAAGATTGGCAGTAAACTCTCCATTTGCACTGTGGAAGCAGATTGCCATTCACACTACCATCCATTTTTCCATATTATGGAGGCTTCATAAAGGTACAAAATTGCCACATATCAATGCTTTTTTTCTCTTTTCTTTCTCAATGACACATTTTATCAAGGCAATTTAGAAGTGGCCATGTTGAGTCCATTAGCTGAAGTATATAATATCAAAGAAAAAACAATCCTAAGTGCCAAAAATGTTTTGTCAATAAAGATTGCCTGGCTGTTGCATAACATTTTACTCCCATATATAAATAGAAGACAAGTATGCAAAAACCAATGGGCTCTATTCTCACATTATTTCTTTCTTATTAAATAGAATAATAAGTAATTGGATTAGTTGATCAACTTGGTAAAATTAAGCTAAGAACATTATATGTGTATGTATGAACAAAAATTAACAAGCCATAATAGAAATTATTAAAATCCACACTTGTGGGTATCCCACAAAAGCTTTTTTTCTCAAATAGACAAACACACTGCAGTGAACTGAAAGTATTGTTCAGAGATAATTTTCATTAGATTGGAAAATGTTAGAACTGGAAAGGATCATAAAACTTGCCCCTGGCTGAGAAAGTCTTCTCCCAAACAATATACTATTAAAATAGCAGACCAAGGCATAGAGTTCAGACTTCTGGACCCTGTATCAGTACTCTTTCTACTACACTATATTGTCTCCTCTCTAAGAAATAAAGAATTGCTGTTTGTGATGAGTTCACAGTACTCTATTTTTGCAAATATTAGAAAATTTAATTTCTTAATTGTAGACAACAAATGCATGGGTGCACAATTCTTATTAGAAAAATGGCTCAACAGATGGCATTCTGCCTCATAGAGTATATGATGTACTTTAGTTACTAAAATGTGTAAATGGTACAGTAGGCTATAATCTAAATTGTCAATTATGCTTTGAGCCATGATGTAGATGTGTTTAAAAAGAAAACATAAGGAAGACAGCCGAATAGGAACAGCTCCAGTCTACAGCTCCCAGCGTGAGCAACACAGAAGATGGGGGATTTCTGCATTTCCAACTGAGGTACCGGGTTCATCTCACTGGGGCGTGTCAGACAGTGGGGGCAGGAGAGTGGGTGCAGGACAGTGGGTGCAGCCCACAGAGTGTGAGCCAAAGCAGGGTGAGGCATCACCTCACCGGGGAAGGGCAAGTGGTCAGGAAATTCCCTTTCCTAGCCAAGGGAAGCGGTGACAGATGATACCTGGAAAATCGGGTCACTCCTACCCTAATACTGTGCTTTTCCAACGGTCTTAGCAAATGGCATACCAGGAGATTATATCCCATGCCTGGTTTGGAGGGTCCCACGCCCATGGAGCCTTGCTCATTGCTAGCACAGCAGTCTGAGATCGAACTGCAAGGTGGCAGTGAGGCTGGGGGAGGGGCGCCCACCATTGCTGAGACTTGAGTAGGTAAACAAAGCAGCCAGGAAGCTCGAACTGGGTGGAGCCCACCGCAGCTCAAGGAGGCCTGCCTGCCTCTGTAGACTCCACCTGTGGGGGCAGGGCATAGCCAAACAAAAGGCAACAGAAACCTCTGCAGACTTAAATGTCCCTGTCTGACAGCTTTGAAGAGAGTAGTGGCTCTCCCAGCACAGAGTTTGAGATCTGAGAATGGACAGACTGCCTCCTCAGGTGGGTCCCTGACCTCTGAGTAGCCTAACTGGGAGGCACCATCCAGTAGGGGCAGACTGACACCTCACGTGGCCGGGTACTCCTCTGAGATGAAGCTTCTAGAGGAACAATCAGGCAGCAACATTTGCTGTTCAGCAATATTCACTGTTCTGCAGCCTCCACTGTTGATACCCAGGCAAATGGGGTCTGGAGTGGACCTCCAGAAAACCCCAACAGATCTGCAGCTGAGGGTCCTGACTGTTAGAAGGAAAACAAACAAACAGAAAGGACATCCACACCAAAACCTCATCTGTACGTCACCATCATCAAAGATCAAAGGTAGATAAAACCACAAAGATGGGGAAAAAACAGAGCAGAAAAGCTGAAAATTCTAAAAATCAGAGCACATCTCCCCCTCCAAAGGAACACAGCTCCTCACCAGCAATGGAACAAAGCTGGACGGAGAATGACTTTGACGAGTTGAGAGAAGAAGGCTTCAGATGATCAAGCTTCTCTGAGCTAAAGCAGGAAGTTCAAACCCATCGCAAAAAAGCTAAAAGCCTTGAAAAAAGATTAGACAAATGGCTAACTAGAGTAAACAGTGTAGAGAAGTCCTTAAATGACCTGATGGAGCTGAAAACCATGGCACGAGAACTACATGACGAATGCACAAGCTTCAGTAGCTGATTTGATCAACTGGAAGAAAAGGTATCAGTGATTGAAGATCAAATGAATGAAATGAAGCGAGAAGAGAAGTTTAGAGAAAAAAGAGTAAAAAGTAATGAACAAAGCCTCCAAGAAATATGGGACTATGTGAAAATATCAAATCTGTGTCTGATCATTGTAACTGAAAGTGACGGGGAGAATGGAACCAAGTTGGAAAACACTATTCAGGGTATTATCCAGGAGAACTTCCCCAACCTAGCAAGGCAGGCCAACTTTCAAATTCAGGAAATACAGAGAATGCCACAAAGATACTCCTTGAGAAGAGCAACTCCAAGACACATAATTGTCAGATTCACCAAAGTTGAAATGAAGGAAAAAATGTTAAGGGCAGCCAGAGAGAAAGGTCAGGTTACCCACAAAGGGAAACCCATCAGACTAACAGCGGATCTCTCAGAAGAAACTCTACAAGCCAGAAGAGAGTGGGGGCCAATATTCAACATTCTTAAAGAAAAGAATTTTCAACCCAGAATTTCATATCCAGCCAAACTAAGCTTCATAAGTGAAGGAGAAATAAAATCCTTTACAGACAAGCAAATGCTGAGAGATTGTGTCACCACAAGGCCTGCCCTACAAGAGACCTTGAAGGAAACAGTAAACATGGAAAGGAACAACCGGTACCAGCCACTACAAAAACATGGCAAATTGTAAAGACCACTGATGCTACGATGAAACTGCATCAACTAACGAGCAAAATAACCAGCTAACATCATAATGATAGGATAAAATTCACACATTACAATATTAACCTTAAATGTAAATGGGCTAAATGCCCCAATTAAAAGATACAGACTGGCAAATTGGATAAAGAGTCAAGACCCTTCAGTGTGCTGTATTCAGGAGACCCATCTCACATGCAGAGACACACATAGGCTCAAAATAAAAGCATGGAGGAAGATCTACCAAGCAAATGGAAAACCAAAAAAGGAAGGGGTTGCAATCCTAGTCTCTGATAAAACAGACTTGAAACCAACAAAGATCAAAAGAGACAAAGAAGGCCATTACGTAATGGTAAAGGGATCAATTCAACAAGAAGAGCTAACTATCCTAAATATATATGCACCCAATAAAGGAGCACCAGATTCATAAAGCAAGTCCTTGGAGAACTACAAAGAGACTTAGACTCCCACACAATAATAATGGGAGACTTTAAAACCCCACTGTCAACATTAGACAGATTAACGAGACAGAAAATTAACAAGGATATCCAGGAATTGAATTTAGCTCTGCACCAAGCGGACCTAATAGACATCTACAGAAATCTCCACCCCAAATCAACAGAATATACATTTTTCTCAGCACCATATCGCACTTATTCCAAAATTGACCATATAGTTGGAAGTAAAGAACTCCTCAGCAAATGTAAAAGAACAGAAATTATAACAAACTGTCTCTCAGACCACAGTGCAATCAAACTAGAACTCAGGATTAAGAAACTCACTCAAAACCGTTCAACTACATGGAAACTGAACAACCTGCTCCTGAATGACTACTGGGTACATAACGAAATGAAGGCAGAAATAAAGATGTTCTTTGAAACCAATGAGAACAAAGACACAACACACCAGAATCTCTGGGACACATTTAAAGCACTGTGTAGAGGGAAATTTAGAGCACTAAATGCATACAAGAGAAAGCAGGAAAGATCCAAAATTGACACCCTAACATCACAATTAAAAGAACTAGAGAAGCAAGAGCAAACACATTCAAAAGCTAGCAGAAGGCAAGAAATAGCTAAGATCAGAGCAGAACTGAAGGAGATAGAGACACAAAAAACCAATCAAAAAATCAATGAATCCAGGAGCTGGTTTTTTGCAAAGATCAACAAATTGACAGACTGCTAGCAAGACTAATAAAGAAGAAAAGAGAGAAGAATCAAATAGACGCAATAAAAAATGATAAAGGGGATATCACCACCGATCCCACAGAAATACAAACTACCATCAGAGAATACTATAAACACCTCTACGCAAATAAACTAGAAAATCTAGAAGAAATGGATAAATTCCTGGACACATACACCCTCCCAAGACTAAACCAGGAAGAAGTTGAATCCCTGAATAGACCAATAACAGGCTCTGAAATTGTGGCAATAATTAATAGCCTACCAACCAAAAAAAGTCCAGGACCAGATGGATTTACAGCCGAATTCTATCAGAGGTACAAGGAGGAGCTGGTACCATTCCTTCTGAAACTATTCCAATCAATAGAAAAAGAGGGAATCCTCCCTAACTCATTTTATGAGGCCAGCATCATCCTAATACCAAAGCCTGGCAGAGACACAACCAAAAAAGAAATTTTAGACCAATATCCTTAATGAACATTGATGCAAAAATCCTCAATAAAATACTGGCAAACCGAATCCAGCAGCACATCAAAAAGCTTATCTACCATGATCAAGTGGGCTTCATCCCTGGGATGCAAGGCTGATTCAACATACGCAAATCAATAAACATAATCCAGCATATAAACAGAACCAAAGACCAAAACCACATGATTATCTCAATAGATGCAGGAAAGGCCTTTGATAAAATTCAACAGCCCTTCATGCTAAAAACTCAATAAATTAGGTATTGATGGGACGTATCTCAAAATAATAAGAGCTATTTATGACAAACCCACAGCCAATATCTTACTGAATGGACAAAAACTGGAAGCATTCCCTTTGAAAACTGGCACAAGACAGGGATGCCCTCTCTCACCACTCCTATTCAACATAGTGTTGGAAGTTCTGGCCAGGGCAATCAAGCAGGAGAAAGAAATAAAGGTTATTCAATTAGGAAAAGAGGAAGTGAAATTGTCCCTGTTTGCAGATGACAGGATTGTATATTTAGAAAACCCCATCATCTCAGCCCAAAATTTCCTTAAGCTAATAAGCAACTTCAGCAGTCTCAGGATACAAAATCAATGTGCAAAAATCACAAGCATTCTTATGCACCAATAACAGACAAGCAGAGAGCCAAATCATGAGTGAACTCCCATTCACAATTGCTACAAAGAGAATAAAATACCTAGGAATCCAACTTACAAGGGATGTGAAGGACCTCTTCAAGGAGAACTACAGACCACTGCTCAATGAAATAAAAAAGGACAGAAACAAATGGAAGAACATTCCATGCTCATGGATAGGAAGAATCAATATCATGAAAATGGCCATACTGCCCAAGGTAATTTATGTATTCAGTGCCATCCCCATCAAGCTACTATCCACTTTCTTCACAGAATTGGAAAAAACTACTTTAAAGTTCACATGGAACCAAAAAGGGCCAGCATTGCCAAGACAATCCTAACCCAAAAGAACAAAGCTGGAGGCATCATGCTACCTGACTTCAAACTATACTACAAGGCTACAGTAACCAAAACAGCATGGTACTGGTACCAAAACAGAGATATAGACCAACGGAACAGAGCAGAGCCCTCAGAAATAATACCACACATCTACAACCATCTGATCTTTGACACACCTGACAAAAACAGGAAATGGGGAAAGGATTCCCTATTGAATAGATCGTGCTGGGAAAACTGGCTAGCCATATGTAGAAAGCTGAAACTGGATCCCTTCCTTACAACTTATACAAAAATTAATTCAAGATGGATTAAAGACTTAAATGTTAGAACTAAAACCATAAAAACCCTAGAAGAAAACCTAGGCAATACCATTCAGGACATAGGCATGGGCAAGGACTTCATGTCTAAAACACCAAAAGCAATGCCAACAAAAGCCAAAATTGACAAATGGGATTTAATTAAACCAAAGAGCTTCTGCACAGCAAAAGAAACTACCATCAGAGTGAACAGGCAACCTACAGAATGGGAGAAAATTTTTGCAATCTACTCATCTGGCAAAGGGCTAGTATCCAGAATCTACAAAGAACTCAAACAAATTTACAGGAACAAAACCAACAACCCCATCAAAAAGTGGGCAAAGGATATGAAGAGAAACTTCTCAAAAGAAGACATTTATGCATCCAACAGACACATGAAAAAATGCTCATCATCACTGGCCATCAGATAAATGCAAATCAAAACCACGATGAGATACTATCTCACACCAGTTAGAATGGGGATCATTAAAAAGTCAGGAAACAACAGGTGCTGGAGAGGATGTGGAGAAATAGGAACACTTTTACACTGTTGGTGGGACTGTAAACTAGTTCAACCATTGTGGAAGTCAGTGTGACAATTCTTCAAGGATCTAGAACTAGAAATACCATTTGTCCCAGCCATCCCATTACTGGGTATATACCCAAAGGATTAAAAATCATGCTGTTATAAAGATACATGCACACGTATGTGTACTGCGGCACTATTCACAGTAGCAAAGACTTGGAACCAACCCAAATGTCCATCAATGATAGACTGGATTAAGAAAATGTGTCACATATACACCATGGAATACTATGCAGCCATAAAAAGGATGAGTTCATGTCCTCTGTAGGGACATGGATGAAGTTGGAAACCATCATTCTCAGCAAACTATTGCAAGGACAAAAAACTAAACACCGCAGGTTCTCACTCATAGGTGGGAATTGAACAATGAGAACACTTGGACACAGGAAGGGGAACATCACACACCAGGGCCTGTTGTGGGGTGAAGGGAGTGGGGAGGGATAGCATTAGGAGATATACCTAATGTAAATGATGAGTGAGTGGGTGCAGCACCGCAACATGATGCATGTATACCTATGTAACAAACCTGCACGTTGTGCACATGCACCCCAGAATTTAATGTATAATAAAAGAAAAAAAAGAAAACATAAGATGTCAATGTAATGAGATTATGGGCTTTTTTGTTATTTTGTTTTGTTTTGTTTAAGTATCCTTATGAAGTCATGCATTTTAACGTATTTGATGCATTTCTATTCACTTCTTGTTATTTTTCATAGTGTTGCTCAAATTCCTTTAATCTGGCCAGTAGGGAGTTTAAGTTGACTCAAAGAAGTTTTCAAACTTGACATAGTATTCTCTCTCTCTCTCTGTTTCTTTTTTTTTTGTTTTGCTTTGTTTTGTTTTTGTAAAAACATTGATTTCACTTATTCATTGTGTCTGAAATAATCAATCTCAGAAACAGAATGTAGAGTGGTGGTTTCAAGGGACGGGTAGGAGGGTATATGAGGAGTTGTAATTGAATAGGAATAGCATTTTAGCTATGCAAAATGGGTAAATTCTAGAGAACTGCTATAGAACATTGTGCCTATAGTTAACAATACTGTATTGTACTCTTAAAAATATGAAAGGGTAGATTCATGTTAAATGTTCTTACTTTTTGAATTCTTGACCTGGAGCACAAAGTAAAGGGAGAGAAGGATTGTGGGTATATGCATATGAACTGCAGAAGGATACTGTAGTTGTTTGCAGTTGAATCCTGATTAGACTAACACTGAGGCAAGAGACCTATGCTCAATAATAACTGGCAACATTCTCACCTGGAAGCATTATAGTAGTATGTGGTAATCACATTGGTAACTCTGATCTTTAAGAGCCCATGGCCTGAGCTAGGCATAGTGCCTCTATCTCTTTTAGTACTCCAGCATCATCTACTTGCCAGATATATCCATTGAGAAGATCCACTTACACTTAAAATACATTCCTAGAATCCATTTTTAATCTCCCCATACCATGCTTCTAAACTAGTATACATTCCCAAGGTGTCTGTTTTTATCTGTGACATCTTCTCATCACCCAAACTTGAAAACTTGGAGATGCTGTTAACACTACCTGTTCCTTCCCTGCCACTATCCCTCCTACAGCATACAGAGTGACCGAGTCCTATCTATTCTTCTTTCAAAATGTACCTGAAATTCATTCTTTCCTTTTTTCTTGACACTTATATCCTAGGTAACATTTTTAAATCAATTCATGATTGAATTATGGCAATATAATTCTAAATTATCTCCTAATCACCTGTCTCTTTGCTCTATATATCCACCATACTGCATCAGATTTAATCTTCCCTGCTTTCATCATGTCACAGTGCCTTACACATAGTTGGCTCTCAAGAAGTAATTACCGAATAAATTACTATTCAAACCTGATTGAAAACCTACGTTGATTGCTCTCCCGATTGTCAGAAGAATTTTAAAGTCCTCCAAAATGTGGTTCCTTTCTATTTCTCTCCAAGAAGATGAATCTGATCCGGTCGTGTTGTGTTGGTTTTCTCATTGAACACACGTCAACTCTCACCACTCTTTTCTTCCTTTTTGGGGCACCTTCTCTTGCTATTACAACTGTCCAAATTTTACACATTTCTCAATGCTCAACTCAGCTATAATTTCTCCTTTAAGCCTTTCCCAATTACTAAAGCTCATAAAAGGGTTTTCCATGTCTCTGATTTCCTAAAACCAGAATTTTACACCTCCTCATATTATTATTTCATATTTGTAAACTGTTTATGTTTATGACCTTTGTCCAACCACAACTGATGTCTTGATGTCACGGACCTTGGACATGTCTTAGAGGCAGAAACTTTGGACTTCCATGAGTCTTAGTTTTCTCATCAGAAAACTGAAGTTAACTGTACTTATATCACAGAGTTTTTAGGAAAATCCTCTAGCAGAGTGCCTAGCACATAATAGATGTTTAACAATGCTACTTTATTTTCTGTGTGTCACTTTATACAGCCTAGCAAATGGCCTTGCACATAGTAGTTACTCAGCAAGTTCTGACTGAACTGAACATAGAGACCCATAGAATAGTACAAGTCATTTCCTTATTGTTAGTTATGCCACTGCTGGTGATAGAGGGTATATTTGTGAGAATGTTTGCTAAAAGAGAGGAGGAGAAAGAAGTCTGAAAAAAAGGTGAAACTGAGAACACACCTCTGAGTTACAATGCCCCACTTAGACTCAAGTCATTCAAGATGGTTTTGGGAGGGGTAAGAAAACCAAAAAAGGAAAGTTGTCATATGGAACAATAAGGATTCATTGTGTTGAATTACTATTTGTTTAGGTAGAAAAAACCCAGGTGAATATGGCTTATTAAAACATGATACAATAATACCTCTCCAACTTTGTCAAACACATAAACCTTTTTTATAACAGCAGTTTAAGAAGTAGCACAGAATATCCTTACATTTGCAAAGGGCCCAGGGCCCAGGGAAAGAAGTTATCTGAAGTAAAACTAAGTGAGAAAGACTGGATTTTTATTCCTGAAGAATTATTGGAGACTCCAGACACATGCACACACACACACTCACACACACACACATAAACAAATAGGAATTGACAAAGTCTTCCTAGATGTTAAATGTAGGCATTTCTTGGCAATGATGTAGGTAGTTAGGGTTGGGTGATAGCATTAAATATCTCAAAAGGCCACAATTATCTTTTCAGGTCATTTCATATGGTTATTAGTATAACACTATATGGGTATTCAAAAGTAATAGTAAAAATAATACTCATCAAAATTTCCGTATAACAGTTTTTTTTAAATTCAAAATGCTTTCACGTACATTCAGGCTCAACTGAGCACTTAATTCAATTATGAGCAACTTTTACATCACCATATGTGTTCACATACATTTTTCTATGTTCCCACAGTACTTTGTATGATATGTAGATTTATTGTCTGTATGTGCAGATGAGAAAACTTGAGAGTCAGAGAAACTATAACTTTCCAGAACTTCATGGACAGTTAGTGGCAGAAATAGAACGAAAATGTTTGATTTGTAATCCCAACCACTCCCTGTTATCCAATTTACAAAGACAACTTCAGTAAAACTCTTAATAAATCCCTTTCTTATGAATTTCTGACAGTTGAAATTTAACTTGTCAAAAGAGAAATTCGCTTTACCCCCCAGACAGCACTCTGACTTTTAACACCATTGACACCATCAACACCATCATTCACCTGTTATATTAGATTGACAGCCTTAAAATTATTTTTCATTCCTCTTCCTCATTGCTCTTGTCTGACATATCTAATCTAAATCCTGATGAGTCTTCATTCACATATACATCAAAGTTACCATTTTTCCTTTATAAACCTCAAGTTTTTAAAATCTATTTAAATAATGGCAGTCATTTTTAGGTTCTCTGAATTTCTTGCTATATTTAACACTCTAGGATTCAAAGAAATATGTGAAGATGTGAATAGTTATTATTTCCAGTTGTGTAATTACTTCCATTATTCCATAAGTTGGCAAATTCATCCGGTTAGGAAAATGTGGGCTAGTATATAAATCAGGTTTTCACTAATTATTTCAGTGTCAGGGAGGAAAATGAAAGGTGTAAAATAGATAACAGGTTTTGCTTATTTTTATAACTTTGTGCTCTATTTTTTTCATTTTATTTTTCATTTATTCACACAAGCATGAATCACTGTTGCAATTTGATAAAATAAAAATATTATTAAAAACAAATTCACTCATACCTTCATGAGGTATTTTCAAGCACCTACAAAACCCTGTAATATATAGTGGTGAACAAGACGATATGGCCCTTTTTTATGTAACTTACAGCAGTAATAAATTCTCTGAAGAAGTATAATAGAGACCCCTGACATAAGCAGTGTTTCCCATAGTATGGTCTGGAGATTACTCACATCAGAGCCACCTAGGCACTTGAATTTGGATTCCTAGGTCCCATCAAAAAATTACTGAATCAAAAAATCTGAGGATGAAGCCTGGGATTCTCAAGTTATAACAAGTACCCCAGTGATTCTTCTGCACTCTATAGTTTGAGGACTCCTCTTGTAGAGTGTGGACTACTCTTAAATTTTCTTATTTTTGCTTATCAGTATTTCTTGTAGTGTTTTCAGTGAATATGTAATACTTAAGAAAAGAACTATTAAAATAATTTAAGACAGTTCTGGCAAGTCAACAGATATCAGTAGAGTAATCTGGGTGTGAATGGATGTGCAGAGGCTAAAAATATTCATCTCATAGAAGTAGAGACTAGAATAATGGTTACTAGAGGCTGGGAAGGGTACATGGGATAGGGAAAGATTAGTTAAAGGATACAAAATTACATCTGGATAGGAGGTATAAGTTCTAGTGTTGTATAGCACTGTAGGGTGACTATAATAAAAATCATTTATTATATGTTTTAAGTAGCTAGAAAAGAGGATTTTGAATGTTCACAACATAAACCAATGATAAGTGATTGAGGTGATAAACATGTTAACTAACCTGATTTGATCACTATACATTGTATGTATTGAAACTTACTATACACCCCATAAATATATACAATTATCATTTGTCAATTAAAAACATAAGAAACGCTTCTTAAACATAAAGAGTTAGAAGCTAGGTTTTGAAAGATGTGGTTCCAATGGATCAGCAGAGAAAATATTCCAAAAATGAAGCACAGATTCTGTTAAGAAAAACATGGAGACACTAGTAAACAAAATATAATAATGAAGCAAATCTGGCCAGAACAGAGAGTTATGTTCAGAAGGAATATGATGAGGTTAATGCAAATATGGTAACATGTTAAGGAATGGTCATATTTACTGAATGGAGGAATTTTGATTTGATTTACAAGTCAATTAATGGATATCCTTGACCAGTGGCGGGTGGAATCATGCAAATAAAGCTTTGGGAAGATTTGTTTGGTAGTGTGACACAGGACAGAGAAAAAAGAATAAATAGCAAAATAAAGGATAGCAAGAAGACTGGTGGAATGATGGAAATATAATGAGATTAGGTTCTGAACTATGATGATGACTGTGAAGCATGTATTGAATAAAGGTTTAGGAATAGTCAATGACAAATTTTTTAAAACTGAAGCTTTTTGTTGTGTTTATTTTCCATCCTTTCCTATTCTTTCTTAATAGACATGGAGTTTTGATTTTAGACTAGAGGACAGTGCCTTCAATTAGGGTACTTGGCTTTTTCAGATATATAATGATCTGACTGGCCATGTTTAAGGATTGATCCCTTTTGGGCTTTTAGCCTATATATTGGAAATTGTTTAGTAAGAAGACATTTGTTCTCTTTAAATGTCAGACCAACAAAAGAGCCTTTGTCCACCTAACCTGTTTTTTAGTTATGAGATCCCAAAGCAAGCTCTTACATAGCATTACCTCACAGGTTTGTGGTATAGTAAAAACATGGGAAGAGAAAACTTTCATTAGTATTCAGATAATTGTATAATATCAAAGCTGAAGAGGTCCGTGGTAATTATCCAGTCCCGCTATTTCATTTTGCCAATAAAGAATTTGAAGCTCAGAGAAGTTAAGTAATTAAATCTGCATTATCTAATAAATCAGTGTCAGAGTCTGAAACAGAACCCAGAGTTCTGACTCTCAGTCTTCGTCCTCTTCTGCTACACCATCTTGCCCCCTGACATCATTGCATAATTTTATCTCTGGCCAATCATCTTGATTATCACAATCTTTGCCCTTGAAAAAAATCCTGATCTGTTAACCTGGCAGGTGCTCTCCCATAAGCATAGTCAAGTGGTGTCACAATTGCTGTTTACACTAATCATAATGTACTATTCCCATGAGAAACTTATACATAAAATGTGAAGTACTCTGTCTCCATATTCTCAGTTTTAACCTGACACACCCTCCTCCACCAATCAAATAATACTCCCAAAGTTCCATTGGAACTTCTGGACTGTAGCTATAAAATACATGAGAAAAGATGCCGGATTTTATAAATATGTGCCTGTAACATCACACTAGACCCACCTGGGTGTCAACATTTTCCCCCTATTTAGAAGGCCAGAAATAAATGTACATGGGAAAAGAATATAGGTAGAATTTGAAACATTGTCAACCTAACTAAATCTACCCAGAGAACAAAAATGGCAACGGTTGTTATGGTACAGCTTATGCATTGCCAGAAACAGTGCATCTCCCATATCAAAAGAAGAAGCAATGCAGAGGGAATCTCAAAGAAATATTCCCTTCCTGCCATGGGGCATGGGTGTAAAAGTATAATGGTAATCTCTGGCAGGAAGAAGGTTACTATAGCACATTTTTAAAAACCTTGAAATTTAACAAAGACAGTCAAAGGCCCTTTATGGATTTATTCCTTGCCAAATCCAAGGCCAAAACCCAGACCAACTGCCTGGTTCCCTTTCCTACATATTCCCTCAAGATGATTGATTACCCCATGGCAGAGTAAGGGTGGGTCTATTTGCATATGCATTGTCTGGACTTATTTGGGGGAAAAAGGAGCCTCTATCACTCACTGTATCTTTCTGTCTCCTCTGTGTCTGTCTTTCACAAACACAAACACATAGACGTGCATGCACATGCCCACTACCCCCCACCCCTCCCACACACACGTAGCAACATCTCCAAACGAGACTTATCTCTTGGTGAGACATAGCTTGACAAGACCCATATGTGTTTGGCAAATTGGAGCGATTAGTTCACAGCCTTTAATTTGCCTTGACCATCAGTGCTTTCTTCACTATAGTCAGAAAGAAATTCAGAGCTAGATACACCCAATAGAGAAAAATAAAGTATCTAGGGTGCTAGGAAACTCTACCTGAAGTGACACATATGAAATCAGTTTAGAAATGGACCCTTACTAAGACAAAGCTCATTTTTAAAAATATATTTTTTTAATTTATATGGGTACAAAGTAGGTGTATATATTTATGGAGTACATGAGTTATTTTGATACATGCATAAAATGCATAATAATCACAGCAGGGTAAATAAGGTATCCATCACCTCAAGCATTTCTCATTTCACAAGGCTCCTTCTTGATTCCACATTTGCCCTCCCTCCTTTCCCTTTTGACTTGCTAATTATTTTCCCTTCTAAACTGAATAAACCTTGAATAATGAAGTCCCAGCTTTCTTACTCTCCACCAGCTTAGAGCAGGTCTTCTATACACTACTGATGTAACTGCTTACATAGCAGCTTTAGTCCACCACATTATATTATTTTGGAAAAACTGATTCTGCTCTTGTGGATCCACCCATCTAAAAATTGTTATTCTCAGAACAGTTATTTCTGTATTGTATATCTTGTGGAATTGAAGGTATTGTATTAATACAATTGTATCAAATACCTTTAATATATTAAGCAATTTACTGGCATTGTGTGTGTGGAAAAAGGGAATGTGGGGGAGTGATTGTTCAAGAACAAAACGAACAAATTGCCTCTAACCTCAAAATACTTCCAGTCTGGTGAGGAGAAAAGCACATTACAACTCCCTAGAATTTAAATAATTTTTAACAAAAAACAAAGAAAGCAAGTTGTAGAAAAATGTCACCTTAGCTATACTTTAGATTCAGTAGATGGTAATATCAATTACAATTATTTAGCTACTTCATTTCAGGTCAAAGGAGATAAGACCCATGACATAACAGCTTTCTCTAAACTTCATCAACCAATGCCTTTAAATAGTCTCTGGAAATTCTTATTCCTCTTTATGATATTAAAATCTTGTCTCGATTTTGCAATGTATCAGAATCTGTAAAGGCCAAAAATACCAGAAGGCAGTGGTTTAAAGAAATGGATTCTGAGGTTCCTTGGTGTTTTTGATGTGTCTATAAAGGAGACAAGAAAACTTAACCTAAAAAATAATTATTTTCAAAGAAATGATAGGTGCAAGAAACAGAAAAACCTTATATGTATATAAGATTCACAGATATTTGGCTTCCCCTAATTCAATCAGGATTCAACCAAATTTTTGGTCTAGAAATTTGGGTTGTACATGTGTTACTTAGCTCCTTAAGGCAATTATTTGTGAGGAAACATGCACTTGGCAAGATGAAAAGTTTTACTATTCTCCTTGATCTCTTAAAATATTAATCACTCCTGTTGCTTCTAAAATGGGGTTTATGCTCTCTCTTTCTCTCTCTCTCTGTGTGTTTCTTTCTCTTTCTCATTAACTTTACCGTGCTTCACAGATATTGTGATTTTTTTACAAACCTGTGGCAACCATGAGTCAAGAAAGTCTATAGGCACCATTTTTTCCAGCAGTATATGCTCATTTTGTGTCTCTGTGTCACATTTTGGTAATTCTTGCAATGTTTCAAACTTTTACATTGTTATTATATCTGTTTGGTGATCTGTAATCAGTGATCTGTGATGTTACTATTGTCAATGTTTTAGGGCTCCATGTACCATGCTCTATAAGATAGTGAACTTAATTGATAAATGTTGTATGCGTTCTGACTGCTCCGCCAACTGGCTGCTCTTCCATCTCTCCCTCATGAGACCTCCACATTCCTTGAGACACAATAATATTAAAATTAGTAACCCTACAATGGTCTCTACAGGTTCAAGTCAAAGGAAGAATCACATGCTTCTCACTTTAAGTCAAAAGCTAGAAATTATTAAGCTTACTGTGGAAGGCATGTCTAAAGCCAAGATAGGCTGAAAGCTGGGCCTCTGGAGACAGACAGTTGGCCAAGTTGTGAAGGCAAAGGAAAAGTTCTTGTAAGACATTAAAAGTGCTATTTCAGTAAGCACGTGAATAACAAGAAAGTAAAACAGCCTTATTGCTGATATAGAAAAAGTTTGAGCAATCTGCATAGAAAAGGAAATTAGTTACAATATTGCCAAAGCCTAATCCAAAGCAAGGCCTTTACCCTCTTCAATTCTATGAAGGGCAAGAGAGGTGAGGAATCTTCAGAAAAAAAGTTGAAAGCTAGTAGAGGCTGGCTCATAAGGTTTAAGAAAAGAATCCTCCTCTATAACATAAAGGTGCAAGATGAAGCAGGAAGAGCTGATGTAAAAATGGCAGCAAGTTATCCAAAATATATACCTAAGATAATTGATGCAGATAGCTACACTAAAAAACATATTTTAAATGTAGAAGAAACAGCCTTTTATTGGAAGAAGATGCCAACTAGGGTTTTTATAGCTAGAGAAACGTCAATGCCTGGCTTCAAAGCACAGGCTGATTCTCTTGTTAGGGAATAATGCAGCTTGGTATACTTAAGTTGAAGCCAATGTTTATCATTCTGAAAATCCTTTAGATATCCTTTGGTATGTATATACTACACACACACACACACACACACACATCAAAATATTACTGTTCACTGATAATGCTCCAGGTCACCAAGAGCTCTGATGGAGGTGACGGAGGTGTACAAAGACTAATGTTGCTTAATGCCTGGTAACATAACATCCATTCTGTAGCCCATGCATCAGTCAAGGAATAATTTTGGCTTTCAAGTCTTATTATTTAAGAAGTACATTTTGTAAGACTATAGTTGCCATAGATCGTGATTCCTCTGATGGATCTGGGCAAAGATCAGACCACTGATACCTGCTGAAAGAGATTCACCATTATATATACCTTTAAGAACAATTATGAGGGTGGCTGGCAAGATGGCCGAATAGGAACAGCTCTGGTCTACAGCTCCCAGAGAGATTAATGCAGAAGGTGGGTGATTTCTGCATTTCCAACTGAGTAACTGGCTCATCTCACTGGGACTGGTTAGACAGTGGGTGCAGCCCATGGAGGGCAAGCCAAAGCAGGGTGGGGTGTCGCTTCACCTGGGAAGCACAAGGGGTCGGGAATCTCCCTCCCCTAGCCGAGGGAAGCTGTGAGGGAACTGTGCTGTGAGGAATGGTTCATTCCAGCCCAGATACTACACTTTTTCCATGGTCTTTGCAACCTGCAGACCAGGAGATTCCCTCGGGTGCCTACACCATCAAGACCCTGGGTTTCAAGCACAAAACTGGGCGGCCATTTGGTAAGACACCAAGCTAGTTGAAGGAGGATTTTTTCATACCCCAGTGGCACCTGGAATGCCAGCGAGACAGAATCGTTCACTCCCCTGGAAAGGGGGCTGAAGCCAAGGAGCCGAGTGGTCTAGCTCAGCAGATCCCACCCCCGACAGAGCCCAGCAAGCTAAGATCCACTGGCTTGAAATTCTCACAGCCAGCACAGCAGTCTGAAGTCCACCTGGGATGCTCAAGCTTGGTGGGAGGAGGGGCATCTGCCATTCCTGAGGCTTGAATAGGCGGTTTTCCCCTCACAGTGTAAACAAAGCCGCTGGGAAGTTCGAACTGGGTGGACCCCACCACAGCTCGTCAAAGCCACTGTAGGCAGACTGCCTCTCTAGATTCCACCTCTCTGGGAAGGGAATCTCTGAAAGAAATGCAGCATCCCCAGTCAGGGGATTACAGATCAAACTGCCATCTCCCTGGGACAGAGCACCTGGGGGAAGGGGCGGCTGTGGGTGCAGCTTCAGCAGACCTAAACGTTCCTGCCTGCTGCCTAAGAGACCAGCAGATCTCCCAGCACAGCGCTCAAACTCTGGTAAGGGACAGATTGCCTCCTCAAGTGGTCCCTGACCCCCGTGCCTCCTGACTGGGAGGCACCTCACAGCAGGGTTCAACAAACACCTCATACAGAAGAGTTTTGGCTGGCATCTAGCAGGTGCCATTCTGGGACAAAGCTTCCAGAGGAAGGAACAGGCAGCAATCTCTGCTGTTCTGCAGCCTCTGCTGGTGATACCCAGGCAAAAAGGACCTGGAGTGGACCTCCAGCAAATTCCAACAGACCTGCAGAAGAGGGGCCTGACTGTTAGAAGGAAAACTAACAAACAGAAAGGAATAGCATCAACATCAACAAAAAGAACATCCACACAGAAACCCTATCTGAAGGTCACCAACATCAAAGACCAAAGGCAGATGAATCCACAAAGATGAGGAAAAGCAAGCACAAAAAGGCTGAGAATTCCAAAGTCCAGAATGCCTTTTCTTCTCCAAAAGATCACAACTCCTTGCCAGCAAGGGAACAAAACTAGACTGAGAATGAATTTGAGGAAGTGACAGAAATAGGCTTCAGAAGGTGGGTAATAACAAACTCCTGCCAGCTAAAGGAGCATTTCCTAACCCAATGAAAGGAAGCTAAGAACCTAGAAAAAAAAATGGTTAGAGGAATTTCTAATGAGAATAACCAGTTAAGAGAAGAACATATATGACCTGATGTAGCTGAAAAACACAGCACGAGAACTTTGTGAAGCATACACAAGTATCAATAGCTGAATCGATCAAGGGGAAGAAAGGATACTAGAGATTGAAGATCAGCTTAGTGAAATAAAGCGTGAAGACAAGATTAGAGAAAAAAAGAATGAAAGGGAATGAACAAACCTTCCAGGAAATATGAGGTTATGTGAAAAGACCAAATCCACATTTCATTGGTGTACCTGAAAGTGACAGGGAGAATGGAACCAAGTTGGTAAACACTCTTCAGGATATTCTCCAGGAGAACTTCCCCCAACCTAGCAAGACAGGCCAACATTCAAATTCAGGAAGTACAAAGAACACCACAAAGATACTCCTCGAGAAGAGCAACCTCAAGACATATAATCGTCAGATTCACCAAGGTTGAAATGAAGGAAAAAATGTTAAGGGCAGCCAGAGAGAAATGTTGGGTTACCCACAAAGGGAAACCCATCAGACTAACAATGAATCTCCTTGCAGAAACCCTACAAGCCAGAAGACAGTGGAGGCCAGTATACGACATACTTAAATAAAAGAATTTTCAACCCAGAATTTAATATCCAGCCAAACGAAGCTTCATAAGCTAAAGATAAATAAAATCCTTTACAGACAAGCAAATGCTAAGAGATTTTGTCACCACCAGGCCTGCCTTACAAGAGCTCCTGAAGGAAGAAGTAAATATGGAAAGAAAAAACCGGCACCAGCCACTGAAAAAACATACCACATTGTAAAGACCATTAACACTACGAAGAAACTGCATCAACTAATGGGCAAAATAACCAGCTAGAATCATAATAACAGGATCAAATTCACACATAACAACATTAACCTTAAATGTAAATAGGTGAAATGCCCCAATTAAAAGACACAGACTGGCAAATTGGATAAAGAGCCAAGACCCATTAGTGTGCTATATTTAGGAGACGCATCTCACATGCAAAGACACACATAGGCTCAAAATAAAGGAATGAAGGAAGATTTACCAAGCAAATGGAAAGCAAAAACAAAAAAAGAAAAAAGAAAAAGAAAAAAGGAGGAGTTGCAATCCTAGTCTCTGATAAAACAGATTTTAAACCAACAAAGATCAAAAAAGACAAAAAAGGGCATTACATAATGGGAAAGGGACCAAGGCAACAAAAAGAACTAACTATCCTAAATATATATGCACTCAATGCGGGAGCACCCAGATTCATAAAGCAAGTTCTTAGAGACCTAAAAAGGGACTTAGACTCCCACACAATAATAGTGGGAGACTTTAACACCCCACTGTCAATATTAAACAGAGCAACAAGACAGAAAATTAATAAGGATATTCAGAACTTGAACTCAGCTCTGGACCAAGTGGACCTAAGTTGGACCTAAGTTGGACCAAGTTGGATCTACAGAACTCTCCAACCCAAATCATCAGAATATACATTCTTCTCAGCACCACATCACACTTATTCTAAAATTGACCACTTAATTAGAAGTAAAACACTCCTCAGCAAGTGTAAAAGAACAGAAATGGTAACAAACAGTCTCTCAGACCACAGTGCAATCAAATTAGAACTCAGGATTAAGAAACTCACTAAAAACTGCACAACTACATGGAAATTGAAAGGCCTGCTCCTGAATGACTGCTGGGTAAATAATGAAATTAAGGCAGAAATAAAGAAGGTCTTCAAAACCAATGAAAACAAAGACACAATGTACCAGAATCTCTGGGACACACCTAAGGCACTGTTTAGAGGGAAATTTATAGCACTAAATGCCCACAGGAGAAAGCGGGAAAGATCTAAAATCAACACCTTAAAATCACAATTAAAAGAACTAGGCAAGCAAGAGTAAACAAATCCAAAAGCTAGTAGAAGACAAGAAAAAACTAAGATCAGAGCAGAACTGACGGAGATAGAGACACAAAAAACCCTTCAAAAAATCAATGAATCGAGGAGATGTTTTTTTTGAAAAGATCAACAAAATAGAATGACTGCTAGACAAACTAATAGATAACATAAGAGAGAAGAATCGAATAGACACAATAAAAAATGATAAAGAGGATATCACCACTGATCCCACAGAAATACAAACTACCATCAGAGAATACTATAAACACCTCTATGCAAATGAACTAGAAAATCTGGAAGAAATGGATAAATTCCTGGACACATACACCCTCCCAAGACTAAACCAGGAGGAAGTCGAATCCCTGAATAGAACAATAACAAGTTCTGAAATTAATGCAGTAATTAATAGCCTACCAACCAAAAAAAGTCCAGGACCAGACAGAATTACAGCCGAATTCCACCAGAGGTACAAAGAGCAGCTGATACCATTCCTTCTGAAATGATTCCAAACAATTGAAAAAGAGTGGATCCTCCCTAACTCATTGTATGAGGCCAGCATCATCCTGATACCAAAACCTGGCAGAGACAGGAAAAAAAAAGAAAATTTCAGGCCAATATGCTTGATGAACATCAATGCAAAAATCCTCAGTAAAATACTGGCAAACCGAATCCAGCAGCACATTAAAAAGCTTATCCACCACGATCAAGTCAGCTTCATCCCTGGGATGCAATGCTGGTTCAACTTAAAGAAATCAACAAATGTAATCCATCACATAAACAGAACAGACTACAAAAACCAGATAATTATCTCAACAGATGCAGAAAAGGCCTTTGATAAAATTCAACACCCCTTCATGCTAAAAACTCAATAAACTAGATATTAATGGAAGGTATCTCAAAATATTAAGAGTTATTTATGACAAAACCACAGCCATTATCATACTGAATGGGCCAAAGCTGTAAGCATTTTCTTTGAAAACTGGCTTGAGACAAGGATGCCCTCTCTCATCACTCCTATTCAACATAGTATTGGAAGTTCTGGCCAGGGTAATCAGGTAAGAGAAAGAAATAAAGGGTATATTCAAAGAGGAAGAGAGGAAGTCAAATTGTCTCTATTTGCAAAAGACATGATTGTTGTGTACGTAGAAAACCCCACTGTCTCAGCCCAAAATCTCCTTAAGCTGATAAGCAATTTCAGCAAAGTCTCAGGGTATAAAATCAATGAGCAAAAATCACAAGCACTCCTATACATTAATAACAGACAAACAGAGAAGCAAATCATGAGTGAACTCCCATTCACAATTGCTGCAAAGATAATAAAATACCTAAGAATACAATTTACAAGGGATGTGAAGGACCTCTTCAAGGAGAACTACAAACCACTGCTCAAGGAAATAAGAGAGGACACAAACAAACGGAAGAACATTCTCTGCTCATGGATAGGAAAAATCAATATCATGAAAATGATCATACTGCCCAAAGTAATTGATAGATTCAATGCTATCTCCATCAAGCTACCATTGACTTTCTTCATAGAATTAGAGAAAACTACTTTAAATTTCATATGGAACCAAAAAAGAGGTGGTATAGCCAGGACAATCCTAAGCAAAAAGGATAAAGCTAGAAGCATCATGCCACCTGACTTCAAACTATACTATAAGGCTACAGTAACCAAAACAGCATGGTACTGGTACCAAAACAGATATATAGACCAATGGAACAGAACAGAGGCCTCAGAAATAACACCACACATCTACAACCATCTGATCTTTGACAAACCTGACAAAAACAAGCAATAGGAAAAGGATTCCCTATTTAATAAATGGTGTTGGGAAAACATGCAGAAAACTGAAACTGGACCCTTTCCTCACACCTTATAAAAAATTAATTCAAGATGGATTAAAGACTTAAATGTAAGACCTAAAGCCATAACAATCCTAGAACAAAACCTAGGCAATACCATTCAGGACATAGGCAAGGGCAAAGTCTTCATGACTAAAACCCCAAAAGCCATGACAACAAAAGCCAACATTGACAAATGGGATCTAATTAAACTAAAGAGCTTCTGCACAGCAAAAGAAACTATCATCAGAGTGAATAGGCAACCTACAGAATGGGAGAAAATTTTTGGAATCTATCCATCTGACAAAGGACTAATATCCAGAATCTACAAAGAACTTAAACAAATTTGCAAGAAAAAAACAAACAACCCCATCAAAAAATGGGTGAAGGATATGAACAGACACTTCTCAAAAGAAGACACTTATGTGGCCAACAAACATATGAAAAAAAGCTCATTATCACTGACATTAGAGAAATGCAAATCAAAACTACAATGCAAATCATGCAATACCATCTCATGCAAATTAGAATGGCAATCATTAAAAAGTCAGGAAACAGCAGAGGCTGGAGAGGATGTGTAGAAATAGGAATGCTTTTACACTGTTCGTAGGAGTGTAAATTAATTCAAACATTGTGGAAGACAGTGTGGCACTTCCTCAGGGATCTAGAACCAGAAATACCATTTGACCCAGCAATCCCATTACTGGGTATATACCCAAAGGATTATAAATCATTCTACTCTAAAGGCACATGCACATATGTTTATTGCAGCACTATTCACAATAGCAAAGACTTGGAACGAACCCAAATGTCCATCAATGATAGACTGGATAATGAAAATGTGGCACATACACAACATGGAATATTATGCAGCCATAAAAAAGATGAGTTCATGTCCTTTTCAGGGACATGGATGAAGCTGGAAACCATCATTCTCAGCAAACTAACGCAGGAACAGAAAACCAAACACTACATGTTCTCACTCATAAGTGGGAGTTGAACAATGAGAACACATGGACACAGAGAGGGGAACATCACACACCGGGGTTTGTCAGGGGCTTGGGGGTAAGGGAGGTATAGCATTAGGAGAAATACCTAATATAGATGATGAGTTGATGGGTGCAGCAAACCACCATGGCACGTGTATACCTATGTAACAAACCTTCATGTTCTGCACACGTATCTCAGAACTTAAAGTTTAATTATAAAAGAACAGTTATGAAAAACAGGAGGAGATAAACATATCAACATTAACAGAAATTTGAATAAGTTGATCCCATCCTTCACAGATAAGATTGAGGGATTAAAGACTCAGTGGAGGAAGTCACTGCAGATGTGATGGAAACAAAGAAATAGAATTAGAAGTGGAGGCTGTAGATGTGGCTGAATTGCTGCAATCTTACAATAAAACTTGAATAAAAGAGGAGTTGCTTATTATGAATGAACAAAGAAAGTGGTTTATTGAGGTGGAATCTACTTCTGGTGATGATGGTGTGAACATTATTGAAATGAGAACAACAAATTTAGAATACTCCTTACACTTAGTTGATAAAGCAGAGGAGGATTTGAGACAAGTGGCTCAAATTTTGAAAGACGTTTTGCTGTTTGTACTATGCTACCGAGCATTATCACATGCTATGGAAAAATCTTTTATAAATGAAAGAGTAAACTGATGTGGTAAACTTCATTGCTGTCTCATTTTAAGAAATTGCCACAGCCACCTCAACCTTCAGCAACCACCACCATGATAAATCAGCAGCCACCAACACTGAAGCAAGAACCTCTACCAGTAGAAAGATTATGACTTGCTGAAGGCTCAGATGTTGTTAGCGTTTTTTAGAAATAAAGTATTTTTAAATTAAGGTATGTGCATAGTGTTTTACACATAATTCTATTGTACACTAAACAGACTGCAATATAGTGTAAACATAACTTATATATGCACTGGGCAATAAAAAACCTAGTGTGACTTGCTATTTCATGCTATTTTCTTTTGTGTGGTGGTCTACACACCTAACCTACAATATCTCCAAGGTATGCATGTATACACACGCCTGTCTGAAACGTGAGGGTTAGCTGGATAATAGTTTTATTTTTTTACTTTTTTGAAGAGTCTACATACTGTTTTTTTTACAGTGGCTGCATCATCTTACATTTCCACCAACAGTGTACAGTGTTCCAATTTCTCAACATCCTCCCCAAAACTTAAAAGGTAATTTTTTTTTTTGTAATGGCCATCCTAACAGGTAAGGGATTATATCTCATTATGGTTTTCATTTGCATTTTCTTGATGGTTAATGATGTTGAGCAACTTTTAATATATCTGATGGCCATTTGTATGTCTTATTTTTAAAAATGTCTATTCTAGTCCTTTGTCCATTTTTAAATTGGGTTATTCGGGTCTTTAAAACACTGAATTCTTGGAGTTTCTTATATATTTTGGATATTAATGCTGATACGGCTTGGCTGTGTCCCCACCTAAATCTCATCTTGAATTGTAGCTCTCATAATCACCACGTGTAATGGGAAGGACCTGGTGGGAGGTAATCGAATCATGGGGGCAGGTTATCCCATGCTCTTCTGGTGAGAGTGAATAAGTCCCAAAGATCTGATGGTTTTATAAAGGGCAGTTCCCCTACACATATTCTCTTGCCTTCCACCATGTAAGACGTGCCTTTGCTCCTCCTTCACCTTCCTCCATGACTGTAAGGCCTCCCCAGCAATGTGGAATTGTGAGTTCATTAAACCTCTTTTTCCTTATAAATTACCCAGTCTCAGGTATTTCTTCATAGCAGTGTGAAAATGGTCTCATACAGTAAATTGGTACTGGTAGAGTGGGGTACTGCTGTTAAGGTACCTGAAAATGTGGAGGTGACTTTGGAACTGGGTAACAGGCAGAGGTTGGAACAGTTTGGAGGGCTCAGAAGACAGGAAGATGTGGGAAAGTTTGAAACTTCCTAGAGACTTGTTCAATGGTGTTGACCAAAATGCTGATAGTGGTATGGACAATGAAATCCAGGTTAAGGTGGTCTCAGATGGAGATGAAGAACTTGTTAGGAAGTGGAATAAAGGTGACTCTTGCTATGTTTTAGGAAAAAGATTGGTGGCATATCTCCCCTGCCATAGAGATCTGTGGAACTTTAAACTTGAGAGAGATAATTTAGGTTATCTGACAGAAGAAATTTTTAAGCAGCAAAGCATTCAAGATGTGACTTGGTTGCTGTTAAAAGCAGCCAGTTTTATTCATTCACAGGGATATGGTTTGGAATTAGAACTTATGATTAAAAGGGAAGTAGGCATAAAAGTTCAGAAAATTTGCAGCCTAATTATGTAATAGAAAAGGAAAACCAATTTTATGAGAAAAAATTCAAGTCAGCTACAGAAATTTGCATCAGCAACAAGGAGCCAAATGTTAATCAAGACAATGGGGAAAATGTCTTCAGGGCATATCATGTCAGAAGTCTTTACGGCAGCTTCTCCCATCACAGACCTGGAGGCCTATGAGGAAAAATTGGTTTTCTGGGCCAGGCCCAGGGCCTTGCTGCTTTATGCAGTCCTGGGACTTGGTGTCCTGTGTCCTAGCCATGGCCAAACAGGGCCAACATACAGCTAAGGTTGTTGCTTCAGAGGCTGCAAGTCCTAAGCCTTGGTAGCTTATGCATGGTGTTGGGCCTGTGGGTGCACAGAAGTCAAGAAATGAAATTTGGGAATCTCCAACTAGATTTTGGGGACATATAGAAATGCCTGGATGTCCAGGCAGAGGTGTGCTGCAGGGGCAGAGCCCTATGGAGAACTGCTAGGGCAGTGTGGAAGGGAAATATGAGGTGAGAGCCCCCACACAGGGTCTTCACTGGGGCACTGTCTAGTGGAGCCATTAGAAGAGGGCCATCGTTCTCCAGACACTGGAATGGTAAATCCACTGGCAGCTTGCACTGTGCACCTGGAAAAGCCACAGACATTCAACGCCAGCCCATAAAAACAGCCAGGAAGGGGACTGTACCCTGCGAAGCCACATGAATGGAGCTGCCCAAGACCATGGGAACCCACTGCTTGCATCAGCATGACCTGGGTATGAGACATGGAGTCAAAGGAGATCATTTTGGAGCTTTAAGATTTGACTGCCCTATTGGGTTTTGGACTTGCATGGGGCCCGTAGCCACTTTATTTTGACCAATTTCTCCCACTTGAAATGGGTGTATTTACTCAATCCCTGTACCCTCATTGTATATAGGAAGTACTTAACTTGCTTTTGATTTTACACCTCATAGGCAGAAGATTCTTGCCTTGTCTCAGATGAGACTTTGAACTGTGGATGTTTTAGTTAATGCTGAAATGAGTTAAGAGTTTGTGGGACTGTTGGGAAGGCATGATTGGTTTTGAAATGTGAGGACATGAGAGTTGAGAGAGGCCAGAGGTGGAATGATATGGTTTGGCTGTGTCCCCACCCAAATCACGTCTTGAATTTTAGCTCCCATAATCCCCACATGTAATAGGAGTGACATGGTGGGAGGTAATTTAATCATGGGGTCAGGTTTTCCTGTGCTCTTCTTGTGAAAATGAATAAGTCTCAGGAGATCTGATGGTTTTATAAAGAGCAGTTCCCCTGCACAAGCTCTCTTGCCTGCCATGATATAAGACCTGCTTTTGCTACTCCTTCACCTTCCACCATAATTGTGAGGCCTCCCCAGCCAGGTGGAGCTGTGAGTCCATTAAACATCTTTTTCTCTATAAATGACCCAGTCGGGTATTTCTTCATAGCAGTGTGAAAATGGACTAATACAAATGCCTATGAGATACATAGATTTAAAACATTTTTCACATTCTGTGGCTTAACTTTTCACTCTGTTGAATGTTGCCTTTGCTCTGTGAAAGCTTTTTAGTTTGATGTAATCCCACTTGTCTGTTTTTGTTTTTGTTGCATATGCTTTTAATGTCATAACCAAAAATTGTTGCCAAGATCAATGCTGAGAAGACTTTTCCCTACATTTTATCCTAGAAGTTTTACAGTTTCAGGGCTATATTTAGGTTTTTAATCCATTTTGAGTTGATTTTTGTGCATAATGTACAATAATGGACCAATTTCATTATTTTGCTTGTGAATAACCAGTTGTTCATGTCCCATTTGTTGAAGAGATCATCCTTTCCCAATTGTGCACTCTTGGCAACCTCATAGAAGATCAATCGACTGTATACACTTGGGTTTACTTGGGGGCTTTCTGTTCTGTTTCATTGGTTTGTATGTCTGTCTTTATGCTGTTATCAGACAGTTTTAATTACTTTAAATTTGTAATACATTTATAACTCAAAAAGTGTGATGTTTCAAGTTTTGCTCCTTTTGCTAAAGATCACTTTGGCTTTTCTGGGTCTGTCATGTTTTTATATCAATTTTTAAATTCTATTTTTCATTTCTGTTTTTTAAATTGTAGGTTCAGGGGGTATATGTGCAGATTTGTTACGTGGGTATATTGTGCAATGCTGAGGTTTGGGCTTTTATTGAGCCCATCACCCAAATAGTGAACATAGTACCCTATAGGTAGTTTTTCAAGCCTTGCCTGCCTGTCTGACTTTTCCTTTTGGAGTCCCCAGTGTCCGTTTTCCCCATCTTTGTGTCTGTGTGTCTCAATGTTTAGCTCCCACTTATAAGTGAGAATATGCAATATCTGGTTTTCTATTACTACATTAATTCACTTAGAATAATGGCTTCCACTTGCATCACTCTTGCTGCAAAGGATATGATTTTCATTCTTTTGTATGGTTGCATAGATTTTCTTTATACAACCTACTATTGATGGGCACCTGAGCTGGTTCTACATCTTTGCTATTATAATTAGTGTGATAAACATATGAGTACATGTGTCTTTTTGGTAGAAAAACTTATTTTCCTTTGGATATATACCTAGTATTGGGATTTTGGAGTCAAATGTTAATTCTATTTTCAGGTTTTTGAGAATTCTCCAAAGTGCTTTCTATGGGGGCTGAACTCATATACATTTCCACCAGTAGTCTATAAGTGTTCCCTTTTCCCTAAAGTCTCACCAGCATCTGTTACTTTTTGACTTTTTAATAATAGGCAATGATAATTTTTTTTAACGAAAATCAGGATTCACTTTCTAGGATTTCTGTAACAAAATACCACAAACTGGGTGTCTTAAAACAACAGACATTTATTATCTCACAACGTGAATGCTGGAAGTCTGAAATCAACATGTTGACAGGGTCACACTCCCTCTCAAACCTGTGGGGGAACCCTTCTTTGCCCCTTTCTAGCTTCTGGTGTTTTGCCAGTAATTATTGGTATTTTTGGCTTGCAGCTACATAACTCCAATCTCTGCCTTCATTGTCACATGTCATGCTTCCTATGTGCCTCTGTGTTCTCATATGGCAATCTTTTTATGAGGATACCAGTCATAATAAAATAGGGTCCCACTCTACTCCAGTATGACCTTATCTTAAGGATTACATCTGCAATGACCCTCTTTTCAAATAAGATCACATTCTGAGATACTGGAGGTTAGGACTTTAATTTTTTTTTTTTTTTTAGGGAGAGGGCATAATTTGACCCAAAACACCCACACATCTTAAATATCTCATTAGCATTATTAAGTGTCAGGCCTTGTGTTTGTTATTTTATATAAATTATGAAAATCATTTAATCCTAACATGAAATATTATTTCCATTTTACAGAGGAGAGAATGGAGGCTCGATAAGGTTAACCCACTTGTTCAAGGCCATTTGGCTAATAAGTAGTGAGTCTGGGTATGTTTGGCTCCAAGACAACACACTGTCTTTCAGGAATCTGAAGACTTAATGATTTTTATTTTTTTCTAATTTCCTCCCTCTATGAGAAAATATATGAAAATCAAACTTTTTTCAGTGTGCATGTAAAAATTTTTCTTCATTAGTGTAACACTGCTGGAAAATATGCTGTACTGCACAATAGGTAATTAAAAATAATAATGGCACTCATATTTGTATAGGACTTCTCACTTTTTCAAAGATTTCCACATATATTTTTGAAATTAATCTGACAATAAACTTACAGTTCACTAATAGTTTGAAACAAATAGTAGAAAGTGGATTAATCCACCAAGCAAAATAAAACAATTTGTTGATGATATCAGTGCAGAATATCTCTTTCTAGTATAATTTCTGACTAAACAGAAAAGTTATTTTATTTTAGGAATGAATTATGGTTCTTGTTTCTAGTGAATTATTCCATTTCAAAATATCTTTTCTACTGGGCACATTGTTAAATGGCTAGTGACTGTGCA